>NC_000009.12:34252424-34403939 GCF_000001405.40 Homo sapiens
ATCTAAATACAAAGGATATACAGTCTTGAATCTAAAATAATTTGCTAACTAACTATTTTGATTCTTCAGAGAGAACTACTAATAAAAATCTAAAAGGTATGTCTTGGTGTGATAACTTCTTTATTACCAAGGCTGTTTTATGGGAGTGGGGGGGCCATGTGGTGTATAAAGAGATTTCTTGCTTAGATTTGCTGGGGATAGAATAGGACCTAACCGTTTTCTATTTCGGAGCTTTCTTCCCACTTCAGACCTGTCCTCGTTTTTGGTTTGCAAAGGCAAGCCTAGACTGAGTCTTTTAAACCTGGCCCAGCTCCGTCTGTGGACCAAGGACGTAGGCCTTCCTGACTGTGGAGTTGGGATAGGCTGGGCCTTCAGGGGGATCACCCAGTAAAAGAGGAAGAAGCCCTTTTACTGTGAGCAGCAGGCATTTATGCATCATTTGCCACAAGCAGAGGATGGGATTTAAACTGTTTCACCAGCTCTCAGTGGTGCTGTTGTATATGATGATAGAATAGGGTTCATTCCTAAAGTAAGTAAGTTTTTGTCCTTGACCTTAATACTGTGCCATTGTCCCACTTGAGCTTTTGGCTAGACTGGGTCTTTGAAGGTTTTTAGTGATCATGTGAGGGAGGGGCCGCAGTGCCCTGCAGCCGGGAAGCACCAATAAGGATGCCCCCTGGCGGTCAGATGAGGCACTGTCAGGCTGACAAAGGGTGACTGGACCAGGCTGCTAGTGTCTCAAGAGAGCCATTTAACCCTCTTCTTGGCCTTTTAATTAAGCCCTCCTTTTAAAACCGTAAAAAGTTATCCTTTATCTGAAGGAAATAAAGGCTCACATAGTAATGGGCGTTCGGGCCAAGGCCGTGACTCATGAATCTCCATTTGACCCAGAGTGGCTTTAAAGTAATTGGCACCTGGAGGCTACTTTGTCTTCCCTGTCCTGAGCTGCTTCCTGCTAAAAAGATACACAGCAGGCAGAACTTGGCTGAAGGTTTGTGTGTGAATTCTGTTTCAGAGGCCTCAGACTGTTGAACAGAGCACTCTGTTCAACTGCCAAGGTTCCCAACACAGACCCCTGAGAGGCAGGGTGGCTGGGCAGGGTGAACTGGATGAAGGCCAGGCTAGGAGATGGACTATTCCATGAGGGGGCTGGGTAGTGAGGTGTCCCAGATAGGAGCCAGGAGCTGCCATGGAAGCATGAGAGTATCGGGCATTGTACAGAGGCCTTTCACCCGAGCAAAAGTCAGGAGAAAAATTGATGTGTGACACAGGCACCCTCTTCTGCCTCAACACTGGATTGCAGGAAGGGAAGGGAGCTGTAAATATAAGGCCTGTCTCACATCTGCTGCTGTCAGTGACACATCAAGTCAAGGTTTATGCTATTTACATTTTCAAAAACGCCTCTAAATCCCCAAATCAATCTCCAAGGGCTGATGGGGCAGAGCTCACCCCACCCCTGTCCCCCTAGCACCAATGGTTAAGTTTGGGCCAGTGTTTAGTCTTCTAAGTTAGGCACAGAATTCAGCTGGTGAAGCCTCTGGTCTCAGCATGTTGTCTTCTCTGTCTTGTGACCTCTGACCTCTAGGCTACCACTGACCACCCCATCCTCTGATCCCCAAACTTAGAAACTTCAGGGTTATTAGACCCAAATATATTCCCACAGGCAAGGGGTTAGTTAATCATATTCTCTAGGCACAAGGGAAAGGCATTAGGTTCTTCGGCCTGGCCCACCCTTGGAGGCACTCCTGTGCATGGAACTGAGGGACAGGGGCCTGTCCCTGAGGGAGAAGCTGGGACCTATCTGAAGCCACGTGGGGCTGGGGTGACGCTAGCATAGGCAGGACCAGCGTGTGGGTTCTGGTGTGTGCAGGGAGGACCTGGCAGAGGCTCCTCCAGCCTGAGAGCCCAGCACAGACTCCTGCAGGGCCCCCACCATCTCGGCACAGGGTCTGGCTCTAAGACGGCACTGTTCCCTCAGGGGCTGCGGTGGGCCCGTGGCAGGTGAGATAGAGCTGCAGCTGGCTCCTCAGACTCTGGATACACTTGGATTTCAGAACCATGATTTCATCCAGCTGGGTCACAAAATCTTCAAAATCCTGAGAAGGAAACAAGGGACGAATACAGCTTTTGCTCTTGCTGGCGCTCTGCCAGATCTGCTTTTTCAGTCCCTCCTCTGGCAGGAAAGTTTCAGAACCCAGGCCACTCTTCCAGCGGGAGAACATGTAGGATAGTTGCTATGGCACAGGGTGGGGCCTGCTGCTCTGCATTCGAGACACTTTCCAAGCAGAGGAGTATTTTGTAAGGCA
This sequence comes from Homo sapiens, assembly GCF_000001405.40. Lineage (NCBI taxonomy): Eukaryota > Metazoa > Chordata > Mammalia > Primates > Hominidae > Homo > Homo sapiens. Next base: position 34,254,731 of record NC_000009.12, read on the forward strand.
GAAGGGTATTTGGTAGAAATACCTACGTGTGGTAGGCAGCAGACTGGTCACTGTTAGTCACAGGGAGGGGCCCCGACAAACCGCTAGGAAGGCAGAGCAGCTGAGGATAGAGGCTGGAAACATTTTAGCCTGGAAAAGGCGAGTGTTGCACCATCTCCCACCTGTACCTATACTCAAGATGTCTCAAAGGCGTGGCAAGAGGAGGTGTGAGGCCTCAGTTATGGTTAGTGTGTGCCAGGAGACCCTTTCCCCACACACAGCCACAGCAAACAAGGATGACCATCAAATTAGCTGCAGGCTAATTCCCAACAGCCTGTGAGTGTCCAGCCAGGGCTACTTACATTAGAAGCCAGCTGGCTCATCAGCGTCTCCTCCTTGAAGCCGAGCTCAGCCATTTCATCCAGCTGTTCCTGGTGTGCTCGGATGACCACCTGCCTGGGAACACCAGAGAGAACACTGTGATCTTCCTGGCCTCCCAGCCTCTCCTGGGTAGCTTTCTGGAGGTGATCTCATTTGTAAGCTGAGAGCTGCCTCTGCCGAAAATGGTCAAGGTTTTCACCAAGGCCAGCTTACCAACCAGCTCCCCCTCACCTGCTCTTTCTCAGGATTAGGTAAGGAATTACGGAGTACCAACGAGATACAGGGAGGGAGACAGGGGCTTCCCAAGTTGTCTCCTGCCTCCCCAGCTGTACTGAGGGGGCAGGGCTGGGTGCTGCTGCTCTTCCACAGGAGCTGCCCATTTCCCACAGCTTCCCTGCAGAAAGGCTCTCAAGGCTGTGACTGCAACTGGCATACTTGGCACAAGATGGAGCCTATTGCCTGGTCTGCTATCATTTCTACTTCCTGTGGAGGGCCCGGGACCAAAGCAGAGGGTTGGAGCTAGAAGCAGACTAGCTCACCTGCGTACCCCTGCATGGCTTCTCTTTGTCCATGACAAAACAGTAAGCTGGAGTGGAGGGTGGGTGCCAAAGGGGCTCAAGTCTTAGGGAAAGTGTCCAACTTACTGCGCTTGCTCCAGGGTGGGCTGACGGAGTGTCCCTGCAGTCTTGGGAGAGCAGCTGGGAACCAAGGGAGAACTTGGCCTTGCTAAGCACCTTGAGATCGGCCTGGGTTTGAGCCATGTGACATTTTCACTGTTGCAGGGCAACTTGATGGGGTCTGTGGACAAACCAAACTCCTGCCAACCAAGCCTTGTAGGATGTTTTCTCTCCTGGGCCCAGAGCTGGTCAGCCACATCACTACTTCCTGTTCGTGGGGTGAGTGTAGGTCCAGAATGGGGTACCCCCATATGTATGGTGGTGAAGGGCTTTCCTGGGAAACCCCAGGAGCCATCCAGCCCCGTCTCCTCTGCATCAGCATCATACTGCTCACTACCCATGTGTTCGTGGGAGAAAAGTACAGTCTCTCTGCTCTGGCAGGCCTCTCCTAGGTCTGCCTCCCTGCTGGGCAGCTTGTCAGCTGGGTGCTGACGGATGGGTGATGGGGACAGAGCTGGAAGATCACCACCAGGCTTATTATCAGGGGGAGATGAGGACAGCCACAGGTGCCTAGTTGCTGAAGACACTGGCAAGGCTGCCTCTTGATCACCAGATGGCACTGTGTGGCTCACAACTGGGCCCCCTGTGCTCTCTGCCACTAGACTGTGCGTAGCCCCATCCTGGACCAGCTGCTCCGAGGGAGGAGACCCTTCGTTGTCTGGGTTCTCCAGGAGGGACATGGTGAGGGGAGACATGAGTCCAGAAGCATATTCAGCATGCGTGCCTAACTGCCCCCTAGGATCCTCTCCTGGGACAGCATGACCGTTTTTCACAGTGCTGGTCACCTGGATTGGGCCGTCTGCACTGACTTCTCTCAGAGGTGTGGTGACTGTGTCTCTTTGGTCTGGGGATCCAGGAACTGCAACGTGGGACAATGAGATAGTGAAACCATCTTCCTCTGGGGATGGCAAGTTGCCCTCATTCTCCCCAGAAACCTCACTTTGGGAGGCATCCTTTCTGAGATCAAAGGAAGAGCCTCCACCTCTTTCCTGTCTATATATGAAATCTACCTGTGAACAGTATGGCTTCTCTGCCAGGCTGTCTCTGGGAGAAGGCCCTGAGGAAGTAGAGTTCTCTCTGCTCCAGTCCACGGGCCCCTTACTTGGGCTGCAGCTGTGATCGAGTGCTGCTCTTCTGTGGTTTATGGGGTCCCTGGAGTCCACCCAGCTTTTAGTTAGATCTTTCTTGTCACCTGTCCTGGGGCTAGAAAACAGACTCTGCTGTCTTTCTGCCACCTGCTTCTCAGGACCCTGTCCCCACGTCTGGTGCAGGAAGAATGAGTCTTCGCTATTCTCCAGGGTGTTCCTTTGCTTTGTGGCCCTCTGACTAGAGATGTGTGAAAAAGAATCTTCACTGAAATCACTGTCATCAAGTTCCTCTACTTGGGCTCCATCATGGTTTTCAGAGTAAGAGTGGAACAGAGGCGGAGTCTCATTCGTGAGCTGACCCTCTGGGGGCCTGTACTGGCGTAAAGACCTTTTCAGTGGTTGGTATTTTAACTTCTGTTGGAGGAGAGGTGGCTGTTGGAACTGCTGGTGATAGAAACGCAGATGTTCCTCCCTCTCCTTCTGATGTGGCGGGATGTTTGTCCAAGCTTCAGAGGCAGGCCTAGCAGGCGTGCCCCTCTGGCTGTCTTGACTGTACTCAGCCCTGTGGTGGGCGTTGCCAAAGGAGAGCTCAACTCGAGACACAAGCTGCTTCTGTACTGGCTGCACTGTCTGCACTTTCTTGCACTTGGTGGACAGCTTACCACGCACTAGGCCTTCTCCTGGGCCTGAGGCCCTGCTTTCCCACCCAAGGACAGTTTTGTTGCCCATTCGATTTTTCTCAGAGCACAATGGTGCTGACTCTTCTGGCTTTTTTTTGGCCACATGTCCAGAGCGCACAGTTCCTTTCACAGGGCTAGCATGAATGACCCACTCTTGTGAAGGACTCCCTCTGGAGCCACCCCTTTTACCAGAGACCTTAGGTGCAGAAGTAAAAGGAATGTTGGGTGGGTGGCTGGTCAGAGGATGGACCTTCCCTCTCGTGGAACCAGGGGCTGCCACTGTGAGTGACTGCTGAAATCCCAGCTTGACTTTTTTGGGAGAACATTTGTCCTCTGACAAAGCCCCAGGGGAGCTCTGAATTCGTTTTGGAGAGGAGTTTCCAGATGTCCGATTTCGACTGGTAACTGAAGTGCAACACTTAATGCCTTTCTTTAGTTCTTTGACCCTGTAAATAATCATTTTATGTTAAATGTGTATTTTCACATGTTCTGCAATTCCTTTTCTATAGCTTTCTGGGAAAACAAAAACCAAAGAAAAGTATTACAAGGATTGGGAGTTATTTCTTTATCTGGGATAGAATAAGAGGAAAAGGGAACATTCTGTTTCAGCATGAGATATCCCTCTGTACCTGAATGAAAAAGAGCAGTGTTGGCTGGTTGTAGTGGCTCACATCTGTAATCTCAGCACTTTGGGAGGTTGAGGCAGGAGGACTGTTTGAGCCCAGGAATTCAAGACCAACCTGGGCAACAGAGCAAGACCTCATCTCTACTAGAAATAAAAAAATTAGCCAGACATGGTGATGCGTGTCTGTAGGCCCAGCTACTTGGGAGGCTGAGGCGGGGAATATTGCTTGAGCCCTGGAGTTCAAGGCTGCAGTGAGCCATGATCACACTATTACACTCCAGCCTGGGTGACAGGGTGAGACTCTGTCTTTAAAAAACAAACGAGAAAGAACAGTGTCTTCTCTGAGGATGTAAGCATGCACCCAACATTCCATGATCAGAAGAAGCCTTTTGGAAATCACCACAGCCCCATGTAAGGGACAGGCCAGAGACGCCAGTCTCAGAAGTGCACTGTGTTTATGCAGGGCCCACACTGCTTCCTGGAGAGAGGCCAACTCAGGAGTTCGTGTCCACCACTTACCTGCAATTCCACAGAGTCCTCTTTTTCTGCAAACCACCCCCTTTCAGGCTTCTCTAGGAAGATGAGTTCCCTCAAACCTGCTGGGACCTCAGGAAGCAAAACCTCCAGAAATACACAGGCTTGTGCTCATTCCATGAAAGGAAAAATGACTTGTCTATTCCCAGGGTTTCTCAACCTTAGCACTATTGACATTTTGTACCAGATAATTATTTCTTGAAGGATGTTTAGCAGCATCCTTGGCCTCTGCTCACTAGATGCCAGTAGCACTTCTTCCCAGTCATGGCAATCAAAAACATCTTACCTACTAGGAGAGCACATGTGACCACAGGGTGAGAGATGGAAGGGATCCCAGCAGATACCACAGTCACCCACAAAGAGGCCTGGCCAGGCAGTCAAGAGTTGCTGGCTCTGACACCAACTCCTAGTGAGCCTTTGGAAAGATCCTACCCTTCTCTGGACCTCAGTTTATCCTCTAACATGTTTGGGTTGGGCCCTTCTGGACACAGATAGCTCTAAGTGATTCTGCCTTGACAAGTAATATGTCTTCTATCTCTTACAATTTGGGCTGAGGCCAGCAGGAAGAAAACAACACTGAGCCTTCCACCCATTAATATTTCACTTCTCACTAGCCATTTAAAAGCCACTGACAGAATTAACTCCTGAACAAGGGAATGTGTCATTTTCCTCTTGTCATGCTTGCAAAGTGACAGGGCCTACCAGGTCACAGTCTTCAAATGACTAATTGCCAAGAACAAGGCTGTGGCGCTCAAGGTCAGATCCCTATGTGTGTGTGAGTGGGAGAGACATGTGCATGCACTTGCACACACACACGCGTGCACACATGCTCACACACGCGTGCTGCACAGACATGCACATGCACACTTACACACAACCTGCCATCTGGGAGCTGACTTACCGGTCAGCATAGCGCAAGGTGTTGAGAGTGTGTTCAGTGGCCACGTGGCTTGGTGAGATGTTGGCGATCATGCAGGTTTTGGCATTGCCGATGAAAGAGTCCTTCAGGACCTGTCCAAAACAGAAGGCAGGTCAATGAGTGAAGTCAATTAACAAAGTGCATACTGACTACTTACTAGGTGCAGGATGCTGGGCCATAGTTCCCTTCTGTCCACAAAAAGGTAATTAACATTAACAAAAGAAAAAATACAAATGGCCAATAAACACAGAAAAAGGTACTCACCACATCACTAATCCAAAAAATGCAAACAAACCATTAAAAAAACCAATATTTTTAACTCATTAGATTAAGAGACTAACGATGCCATTCCTTGGTGAGGGTCCAGGGAAATGAGTACTCTTCTACGCTAGCATGTACCATGAACTGGACAAGCTTTCCAGAGGGCAGTTTGGCAATATGTATCAAAATGTAAAAAGAAGCCAGGTACAGTGGCACTCACCTGTCTGTAGTCCCAGCTACTCAAAAGGCTGAGGCAGGAGGATCGCTTGAGCCCAGGAGTTCAAGACTAGCCTGGGCAACATAGCAAGAACCTGTCTCAAAAACAGGAAAAAGTATGTTTTGGTTTGGCAATCACACTTCTAGGACTTTATCCTAAGGAGATAATTGCCCAATTGACCAAAAAAAGTATATATGATATTCATTACATTATTTATAATAGTAATATTTAGTAAAAATCTAGGTATCTATAAACAGGGAACAAACTAAATAATTATACACTGAATATAATAAAACCATTAAAAATGATTATACCTGTACTTAGGAACACAGAAAGATATCTAAAGCTTCTATCTTCGAGGGAAAAAGGTGTATGACTCCATAACTCCGTAAGCAGATCCATATGAGGCTATGCGGGCAGAGAGATGACTAGAAGGAAGTTCACTAACGTAGCAGTGTGTGGTTATCACTGAGGTCTGGGACTTTATCTTTTACTTTCTTCTTTATACTTGTATGTACAATTGGAATTCTTATGTTTTAATTAAAAAGAAACACATTTTCTGGAAATGGGGAACTTGTCTTAAAAAATAACAGAGCTGGCTGGGGACGGTGGCTCATGCCTGTAATCCTAGCACTTTGGGAGGCCAAGGCGGGCAGATCACCTGAGGTCAGGAGTTCAAAACCAGCCTCGCTAACATGGCGAAACCCCGTCTCTACTAAAAATACAAAAGTTAGTGAGGCATGGTGGCACACACCTGTAGTCCCAGATACTCCAGGGGCTTGTGGCAGGAGAATCGCTTGAACCCAGGAGGTGGAGGTTGCAGTGAGCCAAGATCACACCACTGCACTCCGGCCTGGGCGACAGAGTGAGACTCCCTCTCAAAAATAAATAAATAAATAAGTAAAAAGCAACAGAGCCAATGCCAGAATCAGGACTAACCACCTATAAGTAGGTTCCTGGGTCCCTGGTTAAAATCATGTTTGAGAAGACCTAACCTACAGATCACCAACTGTGATGGGTAAGGAACTATGTTTTTACAGGTTCTGCCCAAGTACTATGGAGCCGCTACTCTAGCTGCACAGAATAAAACTCTGCCCATGTGCGGGGCTGGCTTCATCCTGCAGCATACAAAAAAATCTTCTCCTAGACATCTCTCTACCTTGTCTGTCTTCCACTGTGCACAGGACACAAGGCGAAAAAGAACCCAGGACACCCACAACTGTCTTCACAGCTGTTTATACCTAGGTACACCCTCCCATGCCACTCTTCCGCAGCCATTATGAATGCTGATTTAACATCTACTGGAGTTTTTTGTTAATAAAGAGGCACACTTTCATGACAGAAAAACAAAACAAAACAAAAACCCTATTTGTTCCACTAAGAATAATCATAGTTAACATTTATGTCATTTTTTTGTGTAGTGTTTTTTTCCATGTCGCACATTTTAAAAATGATAAAAACAGAAAGTGGTCATACAGTACATGATCTTTTAACATGAAAAGTTGCAGTTTCACCTTTACTCCCATTGTTACTTCCAAATAGATCCAATGCTGTTTCTTCTGCATCTTTTTAAACGTTTTTCCCTGTGTGGCTGCGTAATAGTAGAAATCATATAGGCAATCACATTATTACCTTGTTCTACAGCTTGCTTTTTTCACATCACAATAGATCTTGGTCATCTTTCCTATCAGTACATATAGAAAATCTAGCTCATTCATTTTAACTGCCTGAAGCCATTATTTTTTTGTGCCGAAACAGTGGTCTAAGTCTTAGAGCCAAGAAAGTATCAGGTAGCTACGTCACCCTATTCAATGCAAAGGCTTAGAGATTTCACTAATTCAACATTTTCTTTTCTTTTTTAAGATGAGGTCTCTTTTTGTCGCCCAGGCTGGAGTGCAGTGGCGTGCTCACAATTCACTGCAGCCTCAACCTCCAGGGCTCGAGTAATCCTCCCGCCTCAGCCTCCCAAGTAGCTGGGACCATGGGCCCACAGGCACGAGCCACCACACCCAGTTAATTTTTAAATTTTTTATAGAAAGGTTGTTTGGGCTGGTCTGGAACTCCTGGGCTCAAGTGATCCAATTGCCTCAGCTTCCCAAAGTGCTGGGATTACAGGCATGAGCCACTGTGCCCTGCCCAGAGTTACCATACACTGGAAATAAACAGAAAGGTGGTGACCAGAACAGCACTGCTCTCCCCAAGGAACCCCTGCCACCCCATCCTGAAGATATCCCTGCCTGAGTCTGCCCCTTCCTAAAGTCCTATGACAGGCTGAGTATCCCTTCTCCGAAACGCTTGGGAAGAAAAGTTGTTTTGGATTTCAGATTTTTTTTCAGATTTTGGAATATTTGCATTATCCTTCTGGTTGCACATCCCTAACCCAAAAATCTGAAATCCTTTGAGCATAATGGCACTCAAAAAGTTTTTAATTTTGGCCAGGCATGGTGGCTTATGCCTGTAATCCCAGTACTTTGGAAGGCTGAGGCAGGCGGATCGTTTGAGCTCAGGAGTTCGAGGCCAGCCTAGGCAACATGGTGAAACCCTGTCTCTACCAAAAAAAAAAAAAAAAAAAAAAAAAAAAAAAATATATATATATATATATATATATATATATATATATATGGCCAGGCATGATGGCATATGCCTGTAGTCCCAGCTACCTGGGAGGCTGAGGTGGGAGGATTGCTTGAGCCTGGGAGGCAGAGGCCACAGTAAGCCAAGATCACACCACTGCACTCTAGCCTGGGTGACAGAGTAAGACCCTGTCTCAAAAACAACAACAAAAAGTTTTGATTTTTGAAGCATTTCAGATTTCAGATTTTTAGATTAATGATACTCAACTTGTAGACAGAGTTCCTGGATGGAATTTCACTCCTCTCCTTCTCTTTTCCCCACTGTGCCCAGCATCATGTCTTACTGACAGTGGATGCTCGACTGAATGAACAAATACATGAAATAAGGAAGAAAGGAATGAATCAGAACAAACTCAAGGCTCACATTTAACTTTACCTGAGTTAGTTTGCTTTGCCTGAAGGGAGTATGGGTGTGTTCCTGATCCAGTGCTCGGATACATTCCTTCAGCTGCAAAGTGGGAGAACAAGCACATCAAGTATCAAGTGCAAAGGGAGAGTAACAGACCTGATGCCGCCTCCACAGGAAGCTTGTTTTTCTTCAATAAACCACACTCAGACAATCCTCCAAAAGGAAGTCAAAATGGCCTGTAGTTTCCATTCAACAAGAGAAACCAAGCTAGATTGGGAAACACCATCCTGTGCTGCCTAGCTGAAGGCCTCCCAGCTTAGAGGCTGGGATCCTAGGACTGCCCCTGAGTTGACGGCGGGGAACAGACAGACGCTGGGACCTACCCTCAAGTCCCAGAGTTCAAGCTCATGTGGTGGTAGTTCTGGCTTGCTGGCTCCCTTTCTCTCCTCACATTCTTCCCAACTGTTGATGCACTTAAACAGACAAAATATCTATATCCACTTCCCCACTCCCTGCTCACACATGCACACCCGTTGGCGTAGAGTCAAGCATAGATTCAGATATAAACTATCTGAATGGGGTAGGAGAAATTCTAGAGCCAGAGCTAGAAGGAAACTGAGAAATCACCTAGGCCTACCCCCTCGTTTTATTTATTTTTTTCTTAATTTTTTTTTTTTTTTGTAGAGATGGGGGTCTCTGTATATTGTTGCCCAGGCTGGTCTCAAACTCCTGGCCTCAAATGATCCTCCTGCCTCAGCCTCCTGGAGTGCTGGGATTACAGCCAGCACTTTGACCACACACAATTAAAAACGACCCTTCATTTAAAAACAGCAGGGTCTGTGGCCCAAAGGCAAAGGAATGTTCCTTGCTCATGGCTGTACTCCCTCAGTGAGAAGCGCTCATTGGACATGATAAGGACAGCAGAGATCTGGATATGTGGACCTCCAGGGGAAACACTCCCATCAGAAACAGTGGTGGGGGTCGTGGGGGGCAAGATGAGGGAGGAGAGACCTTCTATTTCTGAGTGATGCATCTAGGCTAAAAGATAGTAAAAGAAAAGAAAAGGAGCTGGGTGCAGTGGCTCATGCCTGTAATCCCAGCACTTTGGGAGGCTGAGGCGGGCAGATTATTTGAGCTCAGGAGATCGAGACCAGCTTGGCCAACATGGTGAAACCCTGTCTCTACTAAAAATACAAAAAAAAAAAAATTAGCCGGGCATGGTGGCACATGCCTGTAATCCCAGTTACTCAGGAGGCTGAGAAAGGAGAAAAGCTTGAACCTGGGAAGTAGAGGTTGCAGTGAGCTGAGATCATGCCACTGTACTCCAGCCTGGGTGACAGAGCGAGACTCCGTCTCAAGAGAAAAAAAAAAAAAAGAGGGAAGAAGGTGGAAGCAATCCCTTGGAATTGCCACCAAGAATAGGTAGTTTGCCTCCAGAGTGTGCTATGGCTGTTCTTAGCAGCAGCCACAGATGCCCGCAACTGCCCTACCTCTATCCAAGAAGCTGCAGGGTATAAACAGGTGTGAGGAAATTTCCTCTTTTATTAAAAATCTATCCAGTATTCCCCAACTTTAGCACTGAGAAGATTCTCCACTGAGAACGAACAAGTAATCAAACCCTGTTCCTCACAGACTCAAATTCAAGCGTGGCCACCAATCCCTACAAGCTTTTTTTCTTTTTTTAAATAAAAAAAGTTTGGCTCCCTCTCTCACCCTCCCAACTTACCCCTCATGAAGTCTGGAAAGAATGTACCTACCTGGAGACTTCAGTTCTGATAAAAAATAAGTAAATAATGTGGAGCAGCACAAGGCAGCATATACAACTGGAAAAAGGAATGAGGAAGAGCTCTATGTACAGTCATGCAGTGATCTTGAGGATGCCGTTAAGTGACAAAAGCGAAGTGCAAAATAGTGTTGAGAGTATGTTAGCATTTTTTCTAAGAAAAGGGGTGAGTGCAAACATATATATAGACAGAAAAATGATTTTACAAGGGGAGGAAGGTAACAAGGTTGAGAGTACAGGGATGGAAACTATACTTCTTTGAATGTGGCTTATTTTACAATTTTTACTTTAAAACCACATAATTTTTTTTGCTTTTTGCTGTTTGTTTAAGAGATGGGGTCTCACTTTGTATCTCAGGCTGGAGTGCAGTAGCACAATCACAGCTCACTGCTGCCTTGAATACCTGGACTCAAGTGATCCTCTCACCTCAGCCTCCCAAGTAGCTTGGGTTACAGGTGCGCACCACCACACCCAGCTAATTTGTAAATGTTTTGTAAAGACAGGGGTCTCCCTGTGATGCCCAGGCTGGTCCTGAACTCCTGGGCTCAAGTGATCCTCCTTCCTTGGCCTCCCAAAATGCTGGGATTACAGGTGTGAGCCACAGCTCCTGGCCTAAATGTTTTAAAATAATTACAAAATAAGGTTAAATCAAAATAAATAAGGCAATTCGTAAAACCAAAACCAAACAAATGAACCTAACACTATGAAATTGGCAGGCTTAAACACACAGAGAAGAATTATTTCAGGTGATTTGACAGCATAATATTATGACTGTACATCCTTAGTGGGATACAACCCAATTAAAAAGAAAACTGCGATAAAAATCTTGAACTGAATTAATCATATTATAAATAATATTAGCATTATTTTGAAATACATATATATTAAAGTAGAGCAAATAAATGTTGCTAGGAACTAAGATTTCTAGCATAACAGAAAAAAGAGACAAATAAACATTTAAATAAATTAAATAAAAACTGTGTAATTTTAATTTTATTTATTTTTTTAATATTATTATTCATTGGCTTTCTTCAGACGAGACAGTTTATTTTTTGAGACAGGGTCTTGCTTTGTTGCCTAGGCTGGAGTGCAGTGGTACAATCATGGCTCACTGCAGCCTCAACCTCCTGGGCTCAAGCAATCCTCCCACCTCAGCCTCCCAAGTAGCTGTGACTACAGGCGTGTGCCACCACGCCCAGCTAATTTTTAAGTTTTTTGCAGAGACAGGGTCTCATTATGTTGCTCAAGCTGGTCTCAAACTCCTGGGCTCGAGTGATCTGTCCACCTTAACCTCCCAAAGTGCTGGGATTATATGTGTGAGCCACTGGGCCTGGCCTGCAATCTTAAACTAATTTATTACTATAAATCCCACATATACCACATATATTTTTCCTTTTCAAAACAAAAAATAACACCTTATTTATTAGCTCTGTCCACAGAAAAGGCCCAGAAGCAAGGGCTAACACAGTAGTGATAAGCACCCCTAATACACAGACTGAAGTCTCTAAACACCATTTCCGTCTCAAAAAAACCAAGGCTCAACCAGGCGCGGTGGCTCATGCCTGTAATCCCAGCACTTTGGAAGGCCGAAGCAGGCGAATCACGAGGTTAGGAGTTCAAGACCAGCATGGCCAACATGGTGAAACCGGGTCTCTACTAAAAATACAAAAAATTAGCTGGTTGTGGTGGCAGGTGCCTGTAATCCCAGCTACTCGGGAGGCTGAGGCAGGAGAATCGCTTGAACCTAGCAGGCAGAGGTTGCAGTGAGCCAAGATTGTGCCACTGTACTCCTGCCTGGGCAACAGTGTGAGACTCCATCTCAGAAAAAAAAAAAAAAAAGAAAGAAAAAGAAAGAAAAAGAAACCAAGACTCATTGAAGAAATGGCTGATTCGAGGTCTGGAGAGGGAAATGTATAAAATGAGCCTAGAACATAGGCTCTTGTCATATCAGAAAGCCAGGAAGCTATCAAGAACGAGTAGGGTTGTACCAAAAAGACACAGGAACATTCTTGAAACAGCTCCTATTGGCTAAATATGTTGAATTTAAGCAGCAAAAAAAGATATAATGATTTCAGTTTATAATAATAGAAAAAAAGGTAAACAACAACAATAAAACAAACTCATATTATGTTTAGGTAACATGAACTCCAACTCATTCTGAAAAGTGGTGAATAAATTAAAGAATCATCTTGCTTCCACTACAAACTGTATGTCAGGAAAATCAGATAGTTGAGGGAAAATTATTCTTTTCAGCTAATACATACAGAAGGAATATTAGAATTAGAATATCACCATTCTGGAACTCTTAATAAAATAATAGATATAGATGAGATTCTTCAATGGCTGATAAAATTCTTAGGTTAAAAACGGCTGAATGGCATGTCCTTAACAGAGACTAAGGGGAAAGAAAAGTAAAAATAAATAAAATAAAATAAAAAATAAAGGCTGAAAGGAAACTTTATAATAGAGAAATTAGGCTGACAACACTTGAATCTCTTTTCAATCTTAAAATCACAAAGAGAGACAACTAGACATTCTCTATCTCCTAATGTATTGCTACAGAAAATCTAAGAACTACCTATGAATTGTTTTTGCCAAAAAATATAGAACCTAAATCTGATCACATCTCTAATTCAGGACTGTCCCAACAGAAATAATACATGAGCCACAAATGCAAAACACATATGTAATTCTAAATTTCTAATAGTCATATCTTTTTTTAAAAAAGAAAAAGAAACAGATAAAATTAATGTTAATTATATATTTTATTTAACTCAATATATCCAAAATATTATTTCAGCATGTAGTCAATATGAAAAAAATAAATGAGATATTCTACAAGCTTTTTTGGTAATCAAAATCCAGTGTGTATTTTACACTTAGAGCATATCTTAATTCAGACCAGCCACATTTCAAGTGCTCAATTGCCACATGTGGCTGGTGGCTGCCATAGTGAACAACACGGCTATAGAGCTTAGCCACCTGACAGGAAACATAAAGGATAATGAGTAACATGTTAAACATCAACACAAAGATGCAGGTGGCCAAGTACAGAATGTGGCAAATCTTACAGGACAAGTGACCCAGTTTTCTTCAACCAATACACTGATATAGAAAAAATGAAAGAGGGAATAAGAACTCACATAGGATTTTATTGGCACCTTGATTTGAACAAGTTAACTATAAAAAGACACTTATGGGACAATTAGAGGAATTATAATACTTATTGGATAATAAAGAATTACTTCTTTAGGTAAGATAATGGCATTATGGCTACATTAAAAAGTATCTCTTTGAGATACATTTAAAAAAATTTTTTTTTGAGATGGAGTCTTGCTCTGTTGTTGCCCAGGCTGGAGTGCAGTGGCATGATCTCAGCTCACTGCAACCTCCACCTCCTGGGTTCAAGAGATTTTCCTGCCACAGCCTCCCGAGTAGCTGGGGTTGTAACAGCCTGCCACCATGCCCAACTAATTTTTGGTTATTTTTAGTAGAGACAAGGTTTCACCATGTTGGCCAGGCTGATCTACCTCAAGTGATCCACCTGCCTCGGCCTCCAAAAGTGTTGGGATTACAGGCGTGAGCCACTGCGCCCAGCTGAGATATATACAATATTTATGGAATAAATGACATGATGACTAGGATTTTCTTTCTTTTTTTTTTTTTTTTGAGACTGAGTCTCACTCTGTCACCCAGGCTGGGGTGCAATGGCACGATCTCGGCTCACTACAACCTCCACCTCCTGGGTTCAAGCGATTCTCCTGCCTCAGCCTCCTGAGTAGCTGGAATTACAGGCGCTCGGCACCACGCCCAGCTAACTTTTGTATTTTTAATAGAGACAGAGTTTCACCATGTTGGCCAGTCTTGTCTCGAACTCCTGACCTCAAGTTATCCACCTGCCCTGGCCTCCCAAAGTGCTGGGATTATAGGCGTGAGCCACCGCTCCCAGCTGGATTTTCTTTAAAATAATCCAACCAGGGGGAGGGAAGGGGTTGCTTAGATTTTTCATATGTTGGTAACTGTTGAATCTGACAGGTATATGGGAGATCATGATACTATTTGTTCTACTTTTCTATGTTTGAAAAATTAATATAATTTTAAAGCTTGGGGAAAGAGAGAAAGCTTAGCGGAGTTAACCATTCAGCAACTGCAGAAATACTTCTGTTCCTAATTGGCATGGATTGACCAGGGGAAAAGAAGGCAAGGAGAGAAGAAAATAGTTGCCTAGAATTGTGAGAGTCTGTCTGGTCAGCCCTCTATCTCCAACCCTGGCATTCTATTACTACATAAGAACAGGGCAGTTGCTTTGCTGATTCCATCCCACATTCATCCACTCTGCCTGTATGTAATGGGCAGTCTTTCAAGAAGGATTTTTAGATTAAAGATTTTGAACAACTTACAGCCAGTAGACTCTGATTTATTTCTGCACCTTCCATCTTTGTCTGTCTATCTGAGTCCCTTGCATCTGCTGCTCTTTCACTGCCAGCCAAGTCAATAAAAGAGATCCTAGAGAAAAGACACAGCAGGAGTGACTTCTGTGAAGCTTTATTTTATTTTATTTTATTTTTATTATTATTTTTTGAGACGGAGTCTCACTCTGTCGCCCAGGCTGGAGTGCAGTGGCGCGATTTTGGCTCACTGCAACCTCTGCCTCCCGGGTTCACGCCATTCTCCTGCCTCAGCCTCCCGAGTAGCTGGGACTACAGGCGCCCGCCACCACGCCCGGCTAATTTTTGGTATTTTTAGTAGAGTCAGGATTTCACCGTGTTAGCCAGGATGGTCTCCATCTCCTGACCTCGTGATCCGCCCGCCTTGGCCTCCCAAAGTGCTGGGATTACAGGCATGAGCCACCGCGCCTGGCCAGAAGCTTTATTTTTGTATCAGCCAGCATTCTGTGACCACTGGAAGAAATTAACATTGGCCCATCCTCTGGAAAGAAAATACATTACTGAGCTGGGTGTGGTGGCTCACACCTATAAACCCAGCTACTTGGGAGGCTGAGGTGGAGCACTGCTTGAGGCCAGGAGTTCTAGGCCAGCCTAAGCAACACAGCAAGACCCCATCTCTTAAAAAATTCTAAAAACTGGCTGGGTGTGGTGGCTCATGCCTGTAATCCCAGCACTTTGGGAAGCCGAGGCAGGCAGATCACGAGGTGAAGAGATCAAGACCACCCTGGCCAACATGGTGAAACCCCGTCTCTACTAAAAATACAAAAATTAGCTGGGTATGGTGGTGCATGCCTGTAGTCCCAGCTACTTGGGAGCTGAGGCAGGAGAATCACTTGAACCCGGGAGGCGGAGGTTGCAGTGAGCCAAGATCACGCCACTACACTCCAGCCTGGCGACAGCAAGACTCCATCTCAAGAAAAAAAAAAAATTGGCTGGGCATGGTGGCTCATGCCTGTAATCCCAGCACTTTGGGAGGCTGAGGCGGGCGGATCATGAGGTCAGGAGATCGAGACCCTCCTGGCTAAAATGGTGAAACCCTGTCTCTACTAAAAATACAAAAAATTAGCCAGGCGTGGTGGCGGGTGCCTGTAGTCCCAGCTACTCAGGAGGCTGAGGCAGGAAAATGGCGTGAACCCGGGAGGCGGAGCTTGCAGTGAGCCGAGATTGTGCTACTGCACTCCAGCCTGGGCAATAGAGCGAGACTCCGTCTCAAAAAAAAAAAAAAAAGAAAAGAAAAAAAATTGTAAAAATTAGCTGGTAGGCTGAGTAGCTGGGACTACAAGTGTGGACCACCATACCTAGCTATGTTTTTTTTTAAGAGACGGGGTGGATGTGAGGGCGATCTGGCTGCGACATCTGTCACCCCATTGATCTAACTCCTAGGCTCAAGAGATTCTCTCACCTTGCCCTCCCAAAGTGCTGAGATTACAGATGTCAGCCACCATCAGCCTACCACTTAATTTTTACCTTTTTTTTTTTTTTGAGACGGAGTCTCGCTCTGTTGCCAGACTCTTGAGCCTAGGAGTTCGAGACCAGCCTGGGCAAAACAGAGAGACCCCGTCTCAACCCTGGAGATCAATGGGGTGACAGATGTCGCAGCCAGATCTCCCTCACATCCACCCTGTCTCTTAAAAAAAAAAAATAGCTAGGTGTGGTGGTCCATACCTGTAGTCCCAGCTACTCAGGAGGCTGAGGCAGGAGGAATGCTTGAGCCCAGGAGTTCCAGGCTGTAGTAAACTATGATCATGCCACTGCACTCCAGCCTGGGTGACAGAGTGAAGCCCTATCTTACAAACAAAGAAACATGAGTGTCAGCTTTCCAAGAGTATCACAAGATTCTGATCTGTCAGTTGATGCTGGTACTGTCCACTCAAACATGTCTATTGGTTTTAATAATTTATGAGAAAGTATGACTAAAATTAATAAAACATTCTTCCCAAAAGGCTAAATGACCACAATGCTAATCACTTAAGTAACCACTTAGGTAATTACATAGAAACTTTTGCGGACAGCAATCCAGCAAAAAAAAAAAAAAAAAAGAAAAAGAAAAGAAAAACATTCATTACTCAGAGGTGAAATAGGCTCATCCATCAGTGTGGCAGATTATTTGCTAAGAGAGCACCAGAGAGGCAATGAATGTATCCAATTGTCTTATGGCTTCTTTCAAGAAGAATGGATTAATCTTCTCCCCCTACCTTTTTTTGGCGTGTAAGCTCTCTGAGATGCATTCCCTACTGTTTCTCTGCTGAAACTGTGTTTCATGTTAGAAGCAATCAATGTCCCTTTTAATAACTTAGGGTTGACCAACAATAGGTCATTACTTCATGGTTAATCAACTGTTGACACTTTAGTACAATGATTTATTTCAGGGCTAACAACTCTACTCTGTATCCCTGCAATGAAGAACTCCATGGTAGCAGGGTATCCTGTTGTTGAGAAAACATACTTCAAAGTCACATTAAAGGAAAGGCAGACAATGTAACTCCCTGATATTTCCAGCTCACCTGCCAAATGTCCTCTTGGCTGAATCTTTGATCTGAATTTGGATGACGGCATGGGAGCGGGAGGAGTCTGCATTAACTCCAGTGGCCCCAGTGCTGCGCTCCTTGCTGCCCTTTAAGATCACCTGAAAATAAAATCCACAGGATGACTTCCCCAAGGAGTAAACAAAAGCCTCTGGCTACTAAGAGTTGGCTAAGAGCAGTAGACAGCAGACATATAATTGTGTCAGTGCACTGCAGTTTTTTCTGTCCAGGTGGAAAACTGCTCAAACACTAAATTATACCTAGTTAGTACCCAATGACAATGAAAACAATGTGAAATACTAATCCTGTGGAAGAACATTCCATAGCTCAAGAGCTAATTTACTTCTTGATCTCATATACTTTTTTTAGTATCTTTGATGGATTTAGCCTAACTAAAATCCCCAGGGCATAACTTGGCTCCAAAGCAAGGACTCCTAATACCCATCTATCTTAGTAACCAAGGCAAAGGACATAAATGTGCATTAAAGAATGACTAATCACATCCACCTGTTCTACCAGGATGCAGTCATAAAGGAGGGCAGGCCCGATGTAGAAATATGGAAGTGATGAGTTACTGTAATTACCATAAGCCCATGATTTCCCTTGAGACTAATCCTCACTCACCCTAGACTGGGAGTAAAGACTAACAGGAGTCCTTCCGGCCATCATGGAATGGGGCAGGGGAGGTGAAGCGTCAGGATTGGCCTGCAGCCACTGAAAACACAGCCATTTAAGAACATGCTGCCCTTAGTTTGGACAGGGGTATGAGTGTTAGTTACTGAGAATAAAAAAGGCAAAACAAAATTTTTTTGAAATAGGGGCTTACTCTGTTACCCAGGCTGGAGTGCAGTGGTATGATCATAGCTCACTGCAGCCATGACTTCCTGGGTTTGAGAGGTACTCCCGGCTCAGCCTCCTGAGTAGCTGGGATTATAGGTGTGCATCGCCACACCTGGCTAATTTTAAAAATTTTTTGTAGAGACATGGTCTTACTATGTTGCCCAGGCTGGTCTTGAACTCCTGAGTTCAAGCAGTCCTCTCTCCTCGGTCCCTCAAAGTGGTAGGATTATGGGCATGAGCCACCTCACCCAGCCACAAAGAACTTTAAAAACATTATTTGGGCCGGGCATGGTGGCTCACACCTGTAATCCCAGCTTCTCAGAAGTTCTCAGAACTTATGAGGCAGGAGGATCACTTGAGCCCAGGAGGTCGAGGCTGCAGTGAGCTGTGATTACAGAGCAAGACCCTGTCTCAAAAAAATAAATAAATAAAAATTTAAAAATAAAGATTTAAAACTGTATTCACTTTTAAAGCCAGTAAAAGAAAAGGGGGTAGCAGTGGACAATGTATTTTTTCTTTTTTTTTTCTAATAAAAAAACAGAGATGGGGTCTTGCTATGCTGCCCAGGCTGATCTCGAAGTCCTGGGCTCAAGCAATCCTCCCACCTCGGCCTCCCAAAATGCTGGGATTACTGGTGTGATATATTTCAATGAAATTTTAGAATGTGGAAAGATAATGAAGGGATGGTAATTGCCAGCAATGAAGTTATAAACTAAGTAAGTAAGTAGGAAAGGGGGGAGTCAGTCTATCAGCCCATTAGGATCCCTAAGAGGGGCTCAGACTCTGGAAGCACCAGGTACTGTTGGGATAAGGCAAAGATACACACAGTCAGTGATCAGAGCAGTAAAGCCCTTGGTGAAACAGTCCCCATTCATCCCCACCCTGTGCAGGAGGCAGAAGGTATAGTCTCCAGAAAATGGGAACCAGAGACCAAAGAGGACTAAGCACCAGGCACAGTGTGGGGCAGAGTGAAGTGAAAGAACTTAAACAAGGATTAAGTAAAAGCAACACACCAGCATTCCCCAACATCAGTCCTCAGCCAGAATTCTCTGGAGAAACCCTCACCCAAGCCCTTCACATGTTTACATTTTGGGGACTTCCCCGGCAAAGCCAATTAACTTTCAACCTATAGTGAAGCTTAATGATCAGCAAGCACACCTCTGACACACAAACTTTGTGACTGTTATTTTTTTAGTGCCTCATACTTAAACGTGAATAGAAAGCCAAAGCCACCAGCATGAAAACACCAAACCAAAAGAGGGAATAGACAAAGCACTTGGAAATTTAAAATATGATAAAGTAAAAATTGTATTTAAAAGGTAGTAAGATTTAGGCTGGGCATGGTGGCTCATGCTTGTAATCCCAACACTTTGGGAGGCTGAGGCAGGAGGATCACTTGAGCCCAGGAGTTCAAGACCAGCCTGGGCAAACAGTGAGACCCCCAACTCTACAAAAATCAGCTGGGCATAGTGGTGCACACCTGTAGTCCCAGACAGGAGGCTGAGGCAGTAAGCTGCACCCCAGCCTAGGGGACAAAAATCCCATCTCTTAAAAAATAATCACCTACTATCAAGTTCAGGGGGAAAAATAAATTAAATAAAATAAAAGGTTGTAAGATTTAGTAGTTTTTTTTTGAAGTTGTAAGTTAAGGATATGTCCCAGAAAGTAAAACATAAACAAGATCTGCACTCTCATGTTTGTTGCAGCCCTGTTCACAATAGCCAAGATTTGGAAGCAACCTAAGTGTCCATCAAGAGATGAATGGATAGGCCAGGTGCAGTGGCTCACACCTATAATCCCAGCACTTTGGGAGGCCGAGGCAGGTGCATCACCTGAGGTCAAGAGTTTGAGACCAGCCTGACCAATATGATGAAACCCCGTCTGTACTAAAAATAGAACAATTAGCCAGGCGTGGTGGCACATGCCTGTAATCCCAGCTACATGGGAGGCTGAGGCAGGAGAATCACTTGAACCCGGGAGGCGGAGGTTGCAGTGAGCCGAGATCGCAACATTGCACGCCAGCTTGAACAACAAGAGCAAAATCTGTCTCCAAAGAAAAAAAAAAAGAGTAAAGTGAAAGAACTTAAACAAGGATGGATTAAAAAAATGTGGTGCTCGTACACAATGGAGTACCGTTCAGCCATGAAAAAGAATGAGATCCTGTCATTTGCAACAACATGGATGGAACTGGAGATCATTATGTTAAGTGAAATAAGCCAGGCATAGAAAGACAAACATCACATGTTCTCACTTATGTGTGTGATCTAAAAATCAAAGCAATTGAACCCATGGACATAGACACTAGAAGGATGGTTACCACAGAGGCTGGGAAGGGTAGTGGGGATGTAGGGGTGGTTAATAGGTACACAAAAAAAAGAAATAATGAATAAGACCTACTATTTGACAATACAACAGGGTGACTATAGTCAACAATATTTTATTGGCTGGGCATGGTGGCTTACACCTGTAATCCCAGCAGTCTGGGAGGCTAAGGCAGGTGGATCACTTTAGTGCAGGCCTTTGAGACCAGCCTGGCCAACACGGTGAAACCCCATCTCTACTAAAAATACAAAAATTAGCCAGGTATGGTGATGTACACTTGTAGTCCCAGCTACTCAGGAGGCTGAGGCATGAGAATTGCTTGAACCCGGGAGGTGGAGGTTGTAGTGAACTGATATCGCACCACTGCACTCCAGCCTAGGAAACAAAGCAAGACTCTGTCTCAAAAACAACAACAACAGTGTTATTTGAGGCCAGGCCTGGTGGCTTATGCCTGTAATCCCAGAACTTTGGGAGGCTGAGGTAGGGATCGCTTGGGCCCAGGAGTTTGAGACCAGCCTGCGCAACAAAGCAAGACCTCATCTCTACAAATTAAAAAAAGAATAACTGGGCCAGGCACAGTGGCTCCCACCTGTAATCCCAGCACTTTGGGAGGCCAAGGCGGGTGGATCACGAGGTCAGGAGATCGAGACCGTCCTGGCTAACATGGTGAAACCCCATTTCTACTAAAAATACAAAAAACTAGCTGGGCATGGTGATGCACGCCTGTAGTCCCAGCTACTTGGGAGGCTGAGGCAGGGGAATAGCTTGAACCCAGGAGGCGGAGGTTGCAGTGAGCCAAGATTGTACCACTGCACTCCATCCTGGTGACAGAGCGAGTGTCTGTCTAAAAAAAAAAATTATTTGATAGAATCCTCACCACAGCCTAATGTTAGGCGAATACAAAGATTATCTCCACCTAACAACCTCTTGAGTTTGTTCCTCTGAGTTTGTTCAACATCTCCAGTTGAGGAACAAACTCAGGTTGATTTATTCATAGTCAAACATCTGCTGTGTGGCAGAGCCAAATTCCACATCCAGTACATCTGACTCCAAAGTCCATGTATTTTTCACTACACTGTGGGGCACTTACAATAAATTCATTTATTTTGCAGTGAATTAAGAATAATGAGGCTGGGCACGGTGGCTCACGCCTATAATCCGAGCACTTTGGGAGGCTGAGGTGGGAGGATCACAAGGTCAGGAGTTCGAGACCAGCCTGACCAATGTGGTTAAACTCCGTCTCTACTAAAAATACAAAAAATTAGCCAGGGATGGTGGTGCGCACCTGTAATCCCAGCTACTCAGGAGGCTGAGGCAGCAGAATTGCTTGAACCCAGGAGGCGGAGGTTGCAGTGAGCTGAGATCGTGCCATTGCACTCCAGCCTGGGGGACAAGAGTGAAACTGCATCTCAAAAAAAAAAAAAAAAAAAGAATAAGAAAGTCCTATTTCATTTTTTCTCAATCTCTCACCATTTTAATTTATATCATATTGAACATAGTCACAGTTTCCAAATTAAGAATCCAAAAGTTGACAGAGCCAAACTTCAACAATAAGACATAAAATATCTTAACAAGTAGTAGTGGTTGCTTTTTAGAAATTTAATTAACTAAAAATATTTTTTCCATGATCTAAGCAATAGTATGTTTCTAAAGATTATCTGTATGTGAGATGTAAAATCAAAATTCAGAATCATACTTAAATACACCCATTTTGTAAAAAGTTTGCTAAAAATTTAAAGAGACAACATGATGAATCCTTTTGTAAAGAGAAGACTGCTAATTTATAAAGCTAGATCATCAACTATATGGCTACCACCTTTAAGCTAATGAAATCATAAGAGCTACAGTGGTAATCTCTTATACTGGATATGGCAAGTGCTGAGAAAAAAGCACTGCTAACTAAGCTCAGATGCTGGGTAAGACACTTAAGGCCAGCGCTGTGACTGAACCATCTGGTTTAAATGCACTTTCTGGCCCTGGCTTCTCCCTGTCCCTTTCACTTCATGTTTACACAGGCTGGGATGCGATGCTGATGGATCATCATAGATTGGTATCGTTCCTTTCTCAAACTCTTTTTTTTCTTCATTAGAAAAGACAAACTTACTGTGGAAAACTTGGAAAATATAGGAAAAGGATAAAGAAGAGAATATATATCTCTCATAATCCCAGTGATTATAAAATTCTGGTATATTTCCTTTTAGAGTTTTAGATTTCTTACAGGTCTTTTTTTTTGTCATTTACAAATCCTATGAAAAGACAAGGGAGGTCTTAAACCTTTACATTTGTAAAAGCAATATGTCTGACTAATAAGGAACACAGAGAAGCTAAGTGACTTATACAAGGTCACATAGGTAGAATATTGTCAGGCCAGGAATAGAAGCCAGATATCCTCTTCTACATGTGAGTAATGATGTTACTAATGATGCTAGTCCACTGAGACCTAGTGAGAGCTCAGAGAGGCCTCAAGACCATACTTCACAAGGAAACGTGGATATGAACAGGAAATGCAAAGGGCGGCCCTGTGGTTCTTCCTCAAGAGTGTCAAAAAAGATTGGCTTCTGAGATTGTGTTACAGACTTTTGAACTTGGGTTTTCACTGCATCTTGTACACCATAATGTACTGGGTATCTCTAAGTGCATCTCAGAGACCTAACATGTTGAGATGCCCTTTCCTGGTTAAATATATTTTAGAGAAGGCATGAGGAGTTTCTGGTCCTTGGGCCAATTTTTTCCAATAACAGCTTGCTGTAGTCATGCCTTCCAGAAACTATATAATAATGCACCTGAGCTATGAAGAGTAAAAATGAGGCAGTCTGTGAATATCAAAGTCATCACATTTTTGTAAATGACATACACAACTGAAGTATAGCAGTTAAAACGGTGAAATCTGGAGTCAGGTTGCCAGGGTTCACATGCCAGCTCTACCATGTGGTTGTGTAGACTACCGCAAGTCACTTAACTTTTAAGGGTCTCAGTTTCTTATCTATAAAATGGGAATTATGGCCGGGCACAGAGGCTCACGCCTGTACTCCCAGCACTCTGGGAGGCTGAGAAGGGCGGTCACCTGAGGTCAGGAGTTTGACACCAGCCTTGCCAACATGGTGAAACCCCATCTCTATTAAAAATACAAAAATTGGCCGGGCACGGTGGCTCACGTCTGTAATCCCAGCACTTTGGGAGGCCGAGGTGAGTGGATCACCTGAGGTCAGGAGTTCGAGACCAGCCTGGCCAACCTGGTGAAACCCCATCTCTACTAAAAATACAAAAATTAGCCAGGCGTGGGTAGTGGGCACCTATAATCCCAGCTACTCAGGAGGTTGAGGCAGGAGAATCCCTTGAACCTGGGAGGCAGAGGTTGCGGTGAGTCAAGATCATGCCACTGCACTCCAGCCTGGACAAGACAGCAAAATTCCATCTCAAAAACAAAACAAAAAGAAAAGATACTAACGAACTAACATCTTTGTGTAAACTTCTAAAACTTAAACTATTTCTTTTTTTCATAAATGTAAAACAATCAGTTTCATGGAAAAATATAGCTTTAGAGATCAACATGAAATATCATGGGCTCCCTAGAGCAAACCAAAAAAAAAAAAAAAGGAAGGAAGCAGATAAGAGAAAGAGAGAATCTATTTGGGGGAAATGCAACTGTAGGAGGTGAGCAAAATTAATGCAATCACCTTTAAAACTACTAAGCTCCCTTTTCCTCTCACTGCCTCCTCCTTCTCAAACTCCTTCCCTAACTAAACTCTGTTGGGCAAGTTTCTAAATCTAGGTTCTCTAGAGAGAACATATTACGTGAATAGTAAAATGGGAATCTGCTACAATAGGAAGTAATGATAACTGGGCCTGGTGTGGTGGCTCATGCCTGTAATCCCAGCACTTTGGGAGGCTGAGATAGAGGATCACTTGAGCCCAGAAGTTCAAGACCAATCTGGGCAACACCTACACAAATTTTTTAAAAACATTAGCCAGGTGTAGTGGTGAACACCTGTGGTCCTAGCTACTCAAAGGCTGAAGTGGGAGGATCGCTTGAGCCCAGAAGGTTGAGGTTGCAGTGACCCGTGATTGCACCACTGCACTCCTGCCTAGGTGACAGAGTGAGACTCTACCTCAAAAAAACAAAACGAAAAACTGTGGTGGTGCTGGGAAACATCATTCAGGGACTTAATAAGAATAATACATGTGGAAAGTTGAGCCAGCATCATACTATAAATTTTATGTATGTCATCTCACTTCCTTCTCCCCATCATCCAACCCAATCATCTATCATTATCTACATGTTTCAGGCTCAGAGAGATAAAGGATGTGCTTAAGGATACATGGCACTGTAACTGGCTGCCCATTACAGCCAAGGCAATGATAAAACATGAAACAAGTTTATCAAAATTCCTAGGAATGAATACCTCTGACTATATAAAATGGGTATAGGAATGACTGTAAAAAATTGTGAATCTCTAAAACTGAAAAACATGCCCATTAATTGTCTGACAAAATCTCGATTCCAAATCTGGGAAATGTGATGAGGCAGTGAGTCCTCTGTAAAGGCAGGAAGTTCTGGTGCCTGCGTTGGCAAGAAATCAAATACACTGGGAAGGAGAAACTTCCTGGAGGAAGGACAATCCCATTTGAATAATGAAGCTACCAGTTGTGCAGGCAGGCCATGCCTGAGTAATCCTGAGGGTGATCTGAGAGGGTAATACTCCAAGATGACACTTGAGCAAACACATGGGTGATACCTGAGCGAGTATGAACAGTGACACCTGAGAGTGAAATGTGACACCTGAGTTAGCAAGTGCTGTTGTTTCAAGTCAATAAATATTTATTTATGAGGATAACTGTGTCAGGTATCCATAAATTATATAAGCTTTCCACCTTGATCTCAGCTGGCTTCCTCCTTGTACAACACCATATGTCCTGCAGACTGAGGGTATCAATGGCGATAATATGTTGACTAACAAGGAACTTTTTTTCTGATTTTCTTAGGAACCATACTTTAGAATAGAACAGTGCCGGCCGGGCGCGGTGGCTCACGCCTGTAATCCCAGCACTTTGGGAGGCCGAGGCAGGCGGATCACGAGGTCAGGAGATCGAGACCATCCCGGCTAAAACGGTGAAACCCCGTCTCTACTAAAAATACAAAAAATTAGCCGGGCGTAGTGGCGGGCGCCTGTAGTCCCAGCTACTTGGGAGGCTGAGGCAGGAGAATGGCGTGAACCCGGGAGGCGGAGCTTGCAGTGAGCCAAGATCCCGCCACTGCACTCCAACCTGGGCGACAGGGCGAGACTCCGTCTCAAAAAAAAAAAAAAAAAAAAAAAAAAAAAAAAGAACAGTGCCATAAACTCTTCCAGGATGCAGGGGTTGACTCAACACCAGACTGCCAGCATTTACAGTCTAAAGGCAATGAAGAGTCTTCTTCTGAGTGTTTGCTTCTTTCGCCTTTAATTGGTCTAATCTTCAGTGACAAAGGAATCCTGAGGACCAGACTCACCTGATGCTCCTGGCCAAATGTGGGAGTGGCTGGAGGTAGGGGCAAGAGGACCACAGGGAACAGAGTATGAGAAACAATTTCCTTAGGACTCCACAGCAGAGGAAGCTCTGGGGAGAATGGTCACAGCCCCAGGGCAGCCCTTCAGCATGCCCCACACACTTTTGTTCTGTACCTACCTTTGCAATCACTAGAAAGAGGCTCTTAGTGATTGCACTAAAACAGACACACTCGGGCGCTATACTCAGGTTTTGGATCCCAGGACCCAGGAATCTAATAACGCAAACGTGAAGTGTCATCCCTTAAGCAAAATTTAACTACAGTATTTGTCTCAGGAAAAAGAAACTTAGAAAAAGATATATACCAATGATGGGCCACCATGCCACTGCACACACCCAAGTCCCAAGTATTAATTTTGAAAAAGCAACAACAAAATTTTCCACAAACCCTGTTATTTGAAGATTAAACAGTCCTTTAAACACCTAGTTTTAGGCAAATGATAACAGAAGACATTGTTATCAATGTATTAATTCATTCAGTGAGTGTCTTTTCTCTTCTTTCTTTTTTGAGATGGAGTCTTGCTCTGTTGCCTAGGCTGGAGTGCAATGGCACGATCTCTGGTCACTGCAACCTCTGCCTTCCGGGCTCAAGCAATTCTCCTGCCTCAGCCTCCCAAGTAGCTGGGATTACAAGCGCCCACCACCATACCCGGCTCATTTTTGTATTTTTAGTAGAGGTGGGGTTTCATCATGTTGGCCAGGCTGGTTTCAAACTCCTGACCTCAAATGACCTTCCAGCCTCGGCCTCCCAAAGTGCTGGAATTACAGGCGTAAGCCACCATGCCTGGCCTCTCTTAATTTCTTAAGAAAAACTGATTTCTAATTATACACTATAGGTAGTAGAGTATCGTGAAAAAGGCTTCAGAGTGAGATCAATCCAAGCTGAAATCTTGCTCTGCCAGCTGTTAGCTATGTGATTCTGGGTTATCACTTGATTTTAACCTCAGTATTTTCACCTCTTAGAGAAGTTTACAATATTTACCTTGATTTTGTGATGACTAAATGGGGTAATATTTGCAAAAACCTCTAACAAAGCATTTGGTAGATAGTGCTCACTAAACATTTGCAATTATTATTAGAACACAGTGAAAAGGAAGGCAGGAAAGATCAAGAGTAGAATCAGCTAGAGAGGCTTGAACTTTGGCATTCGCTGGAGGCATTTCTACAATGCCAAACCTGACTGCTTTCCCTGGTCTCTTAAGCTTGGTTGAAGACTCAGATACTTCTCCCTGGAGGAGTGTACCATGAAGCTATACTAAGCTAAGTCTTGTTAAGTGCCTGGCCTATCCTTCTAGTCCTCTCCCTTTTACTCTAGCCAGGCTTGTTGGATGTACTAGAAGAAAGACTGCGATGGCTGCATGTTAGAATCACCTGGGGAGCTTTTAAAATAATACCCATCCTCATACTGCTGGTGGGAGTATAAAATGGTAAAGTCACTTTGGAAAACAGTGTGGCATTTCCTAAAAAAAGTATGGCCCAGCGATTTCACTCCTAGGCATACACCCAAGAAAATGGAACACACTTGTCCACACAAAAACCTTTGTACATGAATGTTCACAGCAACATTATTCATAATGACCAAAAGTGGAAACAACCCAAATGTCTATCAACTGATGAATGGATAAATAAAATGAGGTATCCATACAATGTAATATTATTCAGCCACAAAAAGGAATGAAGTCCTGATACATGCTGCAACATGAATGAACTCTGAAAATAAACTAAGTGAAAGAAGCCAGACAAAAGGTTGCATATTGTATAATTCTGTTTATATGATACGGACAGAATTGGCAAATCCACAGAGATAGAAATTAGTGGTTGCCAGGCACTGGGGGCAGGAGAAATAGGGAGTAACTGCTAATGGAGTTTCATTTTGGGGTGATGAAAGTTTTCTGCAATTAGATAGTGACAATGGTTGCATAACTTCATGAATATACTTTTAAAAAATCACTGAATTGTATACTTAAAAAAAAAATCCCTCAGGGAGGATGCACCATTCCTGGAGGTCTTGCACTACCAAGTCAATGCATGGAGCGGACAGAGCAAGCTCCTACTCCATCTCCCTGTTCCAAAAATCCATTTAATAGGTTGTCCTTGAATAGAACATGTTAAACTGCTGAGAAAAGATACTACACTTTCTATTCTGAACCACTGGTCTTAAAAAAAAAAAAGATACTACATTTGATCTTAGCCAAAAGACTGAGAAACAATGAATTGTATGCTTTAAAAAACTGAGCGGGACGCAGTGCATCATGCCTCTAATCCCAGCACTTTGGGAGGCCAAGGCTGGTGGATCACTTGAGGTCAGGAATTCGAGACTAGCTTGGACAACATGGTGAAACCCCGTCTCTACTAAAAATACAAAAATTAGGTGGGCATGGTGGCAGGAGCCTGTAATCCCAGCCACTCAGGAGGTTGAGGCAGGAGAATCACATGAACCTGGGAAGCAGAGGTTGCAGTGAACCCAGATCGAGCCATTGCACTCCAGCGTGGGCGACAAGAGCAAAACTCCGTCTCAAAAAAAAAAAAAAAAAAAAAAAGAATATTATGGCCGGACATGGTGGCTCATGCCTGTAATCCCAGCACTTCGGGAGGTCAAGGTGAGAGGATTGCTTGAGTCCAGGAGATTGAGACCAGCCTGTGCAACATGGTGAAACCCCATCTCTAC
This sequence comes from Homo sapiens, assembly GCF_000001405.40. Classification (NCBI taxonomy): domain Eukaryota; kingdom Metazoa; phylum Chordata; class Mammalia; order Primates; family Hominidae; genus Homo; species Homo sapiens. The sequence goes on from NC_000009.12 coordinate 34,283,204, forward strand.
TAAAAATGCCAAAAAAATTAGCCGGGTGTAGTGGCACACACCTGTAGTCCCAGCTACTCAGGAGACTGAGGTGGGAAGGATCACCTGAGCCCAGGGAGACTGAGACTGCAGTGAGCTGAAATCGCGCCAATGCACTCCAGCCTGGGCAATAGGAGTGAGACCCTGTCTCAAAAATAAAAAATAAAAAAAGAATGAATATTATGGTATGTAAATTATATCTCAATAAGAAAATTATATTAAGAAAACTAGTGGATCATACACTTTAAAAAAGGTGAATGTTACGGTATATGAACTACATTTTAATTTAAAATAATAATAATACCCACACCTGGGCCCCACTCCTGAGGGATTCTGATTTAATTGACTTGAGGACGACACAAGCAAGCATTAAAAGACATTATGATGAAACTGGGAAAACAAGCCACAGAATGAGACAACATGCTTATGATACAAATAACCAACAAGACTCATATCCGGAATATACAAATCGACAAGGAAAAGACAGATAACCCAAGATGAGGAAAAGACCCAAACTGGCATTCCCAAAAGAGGAACTCCAAATTACAAGTTAAAAATATGAGAAAATATTCAATTTTATTCTCAATCAGGGAAATGCAAATTAAAACCCCACAATAAAATATAATTAAACACTCCAGACTGGCAAAAATTCAAAATATCTATCAATTGAAAGTGTCTGCAAGATGAAGAGCAACGGGATTGCTCATATACTGCTTGTAGGAATGCACACCACTCTGGGAAACAGTCGGCAGCATTTAGTGTAGCTGAAAATATGGGCCACTGTGCCTGTCATCCTAACACTTTGGGAGGCTGAGGTGAGAGGATTGCTTGAGCCCAGGAACTTGAGACCAGCCTGGGCAACATGGTAGGACCCTGTCTCTACAAAGAATAAAAAAATTAGCCAAGTGTGGTGGCATATGCTTGTGGTCCCAGCTACTTGGGAAGCTGAGGTAGGAGGATTGCTTGAGCCCAGGAGGTCAAGGCTGCAGTGAGCCATGTGTTCATGCCACTGGACTCCAGCCTGGGCTGGACAGAGCAAGACCCTGTCTCTAGAAAAAAATAAAAATAATAAAAAAAGAAAAAGCATATCATCTGACCTAATCATTTCACAGCTAGGTATATATCCTAGACAACCCATGTGCTCTGTACAGAAATACATGTATAAGCACACTCACAGCTGCAATGCTCCAAATAACTCTAAAATAGAAACAACCCCAGTTGTTTATTAACAGGAGAATGGATAAATTGTGGTATATTCCTATGATAAAACACTCTACAGAAAATAAAAATGAAGAAAACTAAAGCCAAATGCAAAAACCTCAATGGAACTGAAAAGCATAATATTGAGCAAAAGAAACAAAACACCAAAAAATACACAGTGTAGTTCTACTCAAGCAAAGTTCAAAAACAGATGAAAACTAACTTAGATGGTTTGGGGATAAATACATAGGTGGTAAAACTATAACAAATAACAAGAAAGTGATCAGCACAAAAGTCAGGATAATAGGGGGGTGTTATTGGAAAGTCACACAGGGGGTTTGTAGGGTGCTACAATGTTCTATTTCTTGATCTGAGTAGCTGATTACAAGGGTGCTTGTTTCTTTATACTGTACATACTTAGGTTTTATGCATTTTTCTGTATAGTGCTATTTTTCACAATAAAAAAGGTTAAATCATTTTTTAAGTAAGGAAAAAAAGGCTCCAAACAATCTAATGTAAAGCCAGGGTTGAGGAACACTGCATTAAAGGAAGGTTCAACAGAAATCTATTTGTACTTACGTTAATAAATGCCCAGAACAGGAAAAAAAAATTAAATATTTTACCGTGGACAGTGGATAGCTCAGTGGGGAACAGGGGAAGTGGGGTATGTATAGTAAGTTAGAGGGGCCTTTACTATCTTCTTACATATTTCTGTAATGTTTAAACTTAATGATAAGTATGACTTTTATTACAATAAAAGAATAACTTAATAAAAGAAGCAGATTGAAAAATTCCTTTGGAAGGACACACAAAAAACTAATAAAATTAGTTGCTCTGGAAAAGGAAATGGAAGTGGGTATTTTCACTTTTGAATTCTGAACTCATGTGATAGTATTACTTATTAAAAATTGTATTTAAAATAAGGGCCAGGTGCGGTGGCTCACGCCTGTAATCCTAGCACTTTAAGAGGCCAAGGTGAGAGGACTGCTTGAGGTCAGGAGTTCGAGACCACCCTAGGCGACACAGCAAGACACCATCTCTACAAAAAATTTTTAAAAATTAGCCAGGTCTGGCAGGGCGTGGTGGCTCACGCCTGTAATCCCAGCACTTTGGGAGGCCAAGGTGGGCGGATCATGAGGTCAGGAGATCGAGACCATTCTGGCAAACACGGTGAAACCCCGTTTCTACTAAAAAATACAAAAAATTAGCTGGGCGTGGTGGCGGGTGCCTGTAGTCCCAGCTACTTGGGAGGCTGAGACAGGAGAATGGCATGAACCCGGGAGGCAGAGCTTGCAATGAGCAGAGATTGCGCCACTGCACTCCAGCCTAGGTGACAAAGTGAGACTCCATCTCAAAAAAAAAAAAAAAAAATTAAAAAAAAATTAGCCAGGTGTGGTGGCATGTGCCTGCAGTCCCCAGCTACTTGGGAGGCTGAAGTGGGAGGCTGCGGTGAGCTATGACTACACCTCTATACTCCAGCCTGGGCAACAGAGCAAGACCCTGTTGCTTAAAAAAAAAAAAAAAAAAAAGTAAAAAGAATTTAAAGTGCAAATATTTGTCTCCAGCAGCTTTTCCCAGAGCCCACTGCCATAGAGAAACACATTAGCAGCATTTGAAACTGGCCCAATAAGGCTGGGTGCGGTGGCTCACGGCTGTAATCCCAGCACTTTGGGAGGTCGAGGCGGGTGGATCACCTGAGGTCAGGAGTTCAAGACCAGCCTGGCCAACATGGTGAAACCCTGTCTCTACTAAAAATACAAAAATTAGCCAGGTGTGGTGGTGGGAGCCTGTAATCTCAGCTACTCAGGAGGCTGAGGCAGGAGAATTGCTTGAACCCACGAGGCAGAGGTTGCAGTGAGCAGAGATTGTGCCATTGCACTCCAGGTTGGGTGACAGAGCGAGACTCCATCTCAAAACAACAACAACAACAACAAAAAGAAACTGGCCCAGTAGTATCCTCCCAATGAATTAAGTTCTCCCACATGCCCTACCTCCCACTAATCGTGGGAGAAACCCTATAGAGAAACAAGCTATCCTCTCAGAAAAGAATTCACATTTTACAGATGGGAAGTGGTGGGCTTGTCATTGCCCTTTGCCTAAATATAAGTCCACAGTACTTGCTTAGTAGCAAAATGAATTTGTTCCCTGTACTTACACTGTTGTGGTGGGGTAATAAAGAAGGAAGAATTAATTACCTCTAAGAGGAGCTCCACACTGTCCACCTGAAGCTCTTGCAGTCCCACTATCTGCACCATGTGCTTGCTATCTTCTCTTGCAAAGAGCCTGCAGATGCAAGAAAGTGGTTGGTATGATGGTGCTACTAAAACAGACTTTGTTCTTGCCTCCCCAGAAACCATTCCACCATTCCTCTATTAAGTAGCAGTTTTCTGTTTGAGTGGGATGGATGCTTATCCTCCTCCCAACCCCACCCTCCTGACCTCAGCCCGATTCAGGGGTGGTTGTTGATTGTTGTAAAATAAATCAACAACTCTGGCTACAATTAAAAGAATGAGCACATATCTAAACTATGCTAATCAGTGGATGATGTACACCTGGCTATACTGTGATTTGTTCAGAGGTGGATATGGGATCTCTGCTGGTCCAATCAAAGTAAAGTCCTGGTCTCTGGTTGTTAGATGCCTGGTGAAGTGATGCTCTCTCTCTGTCCCTGGATGTGAAAGCATATGGCCCTGTGGCCCTGGGAGCAGTGGAAGCCATTTTGTATCTACAAAGAGAGTTGGCTTCAGGATGAAACTAATAACACAGAAGACAGAATGAAGAGATGCAAATAAACTGGGTCCTTATTGCATCCCTGAGCTGCTGGAGTAAACCAATGCTGAAGCCTGACTGTCCTCTAAGCTTTCCAGTTATTTGAGCCAATGATTTCCCTAAATGCTTAAGCTAGTACACATGGGGTTTTCTTTTATTTGCAATGTAAAGAGACCTGATACATCTTATAAAGGAGCAAGGAAGAGCTGGGCTGCATCTGAATGCCTTAGGACTGCATTCAAGGTAATAAATGGTTATGGTCTACCATCATCATTAAACCAGATCCACTGAGAGGCATATGTTGAATCTATCAAAGACTCTAAGATTATTTTTCCCTCTTAATAAGATACTGATTAGGGTTAAGAACGGAATTCCACTTCATAACTTAAAATACAAGAATGATTTTCTCAAAAATAATTTTTTTCTCAGTCTATGCTTCATCCCAGTTTTCCAGATCTCTACAGAAGGATTGGAGGGAAACAGCCTCACCAATGCCCATCATCTCTCTGAAAACAAATCTATTAAAACAGTCAGCCTTCTAGAGTAAAAGAATCTAGCCGTTGGATGCAGTGGTGTGTGTCTGTAGTCCCAGCTATTCAGAAGGCTGAGGCAGGAGGATTGCTTGAGCTCAGGAGTTTGAGGCTGTAGTACGCTATGATTGCGCCTGTGAATAGTCACTATGTTACAGCCGCGTAACACAGCAAGAGCCCATCTCTGTTTAAAAAAAAAAAAAAAAAAGGAAGATCTAACTTTTAGAGCCCTGCTGTCATTCCTGAACATATTTCCCAGGCCTTAATCTCTGAGCCCACCCCAGAAAGATTCCTCATGGACAGCCTAAAATGTACTTCAGCTTTTATGCAAGGTATAAAAACAATTTATCCTCTACTTCTAGGAATTAATTTCAAGATCCTTAAGCTTTGTTTTCCAGTTTAAGAGGCACACTGAACATACATACTTTTGTCTACCCTTGTCAAAGCCCCACTATTATAGAAAATAAATCTTATTTAAAAATTGGTCAGGCACAGTGGCTGAAACCTGTAATCCTAACACTTTGGGAGGCCTAGAGAGGAGGATTGTTTGAGCCCAGGAGTTTGAGAACAGCCTGGGTAAGTAACATAGGGAGACCCTGTGTCTACAAAAAATAAAAATTAGCAGGGCATGGTAGCATGTACCTGTAGTCCCAGTTACCTGGGAGGCTGGGATGGGAGGATCACTTCAGCCCAGGAGGATGAAGCTGCAGTGAGCTGTGGTGGCACCACTGTACTCCAGCCTGGGCGACAGAGCAATACCTTGCCTCAGAAAAAGAAAAAAAAAAAATCAACAGGGTAAAGCATAACAGCATAAACAGGAAAGGGTGCCATCAATGGACCAGAACATTTCAGAAGCCCCAGAAAGGTAGGAAATAGATTAGATTAGACAATTAAATGGATATATATATATATACATGAACCCCACAGGCCATGACACTTGTAGAGTAAGCATAGGTCTTCCCTAGTGAGCCTCAGAGAAGCATCAAACCCAAGAGTTAATATATGCCTATTCCCCTGCTACAACTGAGGAATGCAAATATACAGGGCAATAAAATAATCTGGGCAATTCATTAAAGAAATGCGTTCAGAAAGAGCTAGATATCCTAACCTCCCTTCACCCAAATAAACCACACACACACACACACACACACACACACACACACACACACACACAGCACAGTGGCTTTTATTCCATGGCAATTGTTCTTTAAGGGAAGTGGGCATTCTGACTGGAAAGGGCTCCTAATGAGGGCATTGGAGCTTGATGGAGAAGCTGTGATTGAGCTAATTCGAGACTTCAACACCAAGAAGGTAAAAAAGAAAGGCAACTCTTCCTCAAGCATCCCCAGAGTAGCACCCTCTTTTATTTCGCAGTTGTTTGGTCAGGACTGAATTCTGAACACCTATACAATCTCAAGTGGCATATCTGAAGGTCCCCTTTTCACTGGAATAGTTATAGGAGAGAGGCCTGCCTAAGCCCACTCGCTGGCTTCTCCAGTTATGCTACTCAGTACCCTACTGACCCTCTACAATGGGGGCCTGCCCTATCATGGTCTCCCTATTGAACTGGAACTGCTCCCCCACTCCCCATTCCATTGCTTGCTTGGAGCATGCAAAACTTGTGCATCCTTTTGGACAGCTCCATAGAGGCTTAGATACCTTTGTTGCCGGGCTAGTCTCAAGCTGATTAGGTTTCCCTAGTCTTCCAGGAGGCTCAGCCTCAATTCACTCCTCCAACATCTCAAATCTGGTTAATTCTGTTATGACAGCCTTTAATCCTTCCACCTCCCCCATTCCCTCTAACCTCTATTCTCCCATTTCCTCCACAACTTCTTTTGCCTCCTACTCAGTTTAAGTCATCTGTTTCAACCTAAACAAAACTTCATGCAAGAAAAATATAATAGGTGTTTAAAAGCAGAGTTACTGAATACATTTCTAAATTACTATATTATGTTGCAAGAGCAATAGTTTAAGCCTAACAAGGGTTAAAACTCTAAAGAGAAGATTTTCTTTTCTTCTTATTGATTTCAGAAAACTATCATGGTGTTTACCCTAAGATTATTTAGAGGAAAAACAAGAGAAAGTAGAAAACATTATTTATAGTTTTTCCAGTATAATAATAGGTCAAAAGAACAGGAAGGGGTTTAAGTACGTGTTGATTTCCTGACTTCCTGAAATTATGACCTTCTTCATAGACCAAAATAAAAGGGAAAGTCTTTTGATAGACATTAGAATATTGAACACTTTAAAAAATATTAATGAAAAGCTAATTTACATTTTCCTATAGCTGAATTGACAGCTAGAAAATATGTATCTGATGCAGGAGCCTCATTTCACAAAAGGGCACTAATGTACCAAAGCATCTCATTAAAGCCTATGATTCAGTGATTCTCCGGGACTCTGGCTTAAAATAGCGATGAACAGATTTATCGCTTCCCACTCATATTCAGTACCTTTTTCTTCTATTTAGGAGGTCATAAAGCTGTCCACAGTAAATTTCATAGAAGCTGATCCACACAAAGAGGTGCTTTCTTGGCTGGGACACTTCTAGTTGCCTGAAGATATCTTTGGCAGCTAGAGCATACAATCCTGGGTTCTCATGAGTTCCTATCATGGTGTAGGTCTTTCCAGCACCTGTCTGTCCATAAGCAAAGCAAGTGGCATTGCCTCTGGGGAAAGGATAATTTGCATTACTTATGCATATTAAGAGAAGTATTAGTTTACCCATAGATTTTTAATGACAAAGGTCAAATGTAAACATAGAATCTTAGAGAAAATTCAGCTATAAACACATAAACCTTTAAGGAGAAGAGGACTTTACATTATAAGAACACAGGAAGAGGAAAAAAAATTCTCAAACTACTACACAAGTTTTCCTTTTTTTTTTTTTTTGTTTTTTGAAATGGAGTCTCACTGTCAACCAGGCTGGAGTGCAGTGGTGTGATCTCCACTCACTGCAACCTCTGTCTCCCGGGTTCAAGTGATTCTCCTGCCTCAGCTTCCTGAGTAGCTGGAAGTACAGGTGTGCGCCACCATACCGGGCTAATTTTTGTATTTTTAGTAGAGATGGGGTTTCACCATGTTGGCCAAGCTCGTCTCGAACTCCTGACCTCAAATGATCTGCCCACCTCGGCCACTCAAAGTGCTGGGATTACAGACATGAGCCACCACACCCAGCCTGAGTTTTCTTATAGTAATTTTCTTACAGAACCAGTAAGAGAAACAACTCTAGAAGATAAAGAAACAAGGGCTTTAAAGAAACCACTTAGCCAATAAGCATTTACTGAATTCCTACCCCATGCTAGGTGCTTTAGAGGATCCTAGAGATGATCTACTATTAATCTGAAAAGTTAAATTTAGTGAAAGAATAGAGAATTAAATACGAGAAATAACAGGAGATCATGTGATAAGCAAGATGGTAGTGACCACTCATAATTAAGGAAGTTTAGATAAAGGGGAAATTGATGTAAGCAAAGTATTTGAGGAAGGACTCACAAGAGTAGGAATTGGGCTGGGCCTTGAAGGCAGAAGCTGAAAAGCAGAGAGCTTCCACTGTGGAATAGGAATAGCGTGAACAGAGGCCACAGTAGTAAAGATGGCAGCAGGCACACCAAATCTTGAGGGGAAAAAAAAAGCCTGGGCTCTGGTTTCTGCCCTACCATTAACTAACCATATGACCTTAGGCAAGTCCCTTCACTTTTCTCTGTGCCTCAGTTTTCACTTTTATCAGTAGATTAGTTTCTAAGTAGTAGTAGATTGGTTTCTAAGATCCCTTCCAGTTGTGATGCCCTATGATTCTAAGTGAGAATCATTGCTCTTGTATGTGGTTACATGTGTGCGTACACACCCTTTATGAGTGTGAAGAACTGCAGAATAAGAGGTGGAGAATGGAGTTGGGAGACCAGCCTGTCAATCACAGTATGTTTTACGAGGAGTTGGAGACCAAGATTATCTGAGTGTTGTGGGATTCACCCACACAGTGCTAAGTAGAGAATGAACATAATCTTAGAGCTGTTGCAGACTCTTAAACATGAATCTCATGGATTAATGATAAAAATAGCTGCTTGCAGCAAAAAAAAAAAAGTCTATGCATTGTGACAGGAAAATAAATCTCAGGACCCCGAACTCACTAAGCCAAATGGAAAAGTCAAGCTGGGAAATGGGTCCCGCAAACCTGCCTCCCATTTGGTTCCTAAATAAGATGGCTACAAAGATAAAAAGCTACATATCTCCCTCACATTTTGCCCACTAGGAAATTCCTTGTGGGCTCATGGTCTTCACCTTAAAACAGTTGTGTTGAATTTCACCCTGGCAATGTCAATTGATAGCTTATCTTCACACATGGAGGACACAGGACAGAACTCTAAGTCATCCCTCTGCTCACCTGAAATAAATGCATATTTGATGCTTCCTCTGCCCTACTGTTGTCTACATTATCTAATGTAAAATGCAGTTCACTGGGCCAGGTGAAACATGAAGAACTATTTTCTCCAATCCCCAATATGAAAATTGAGTATTCAGTGAAAGACTGATCAAAGACTCGAAAGGATGCAACTGTTTTGTCTTTTTATCTATTGAAACATTTAAAACATATTTCTTTTCCTCCAATATCCACCCTTTCCCCTGTAAATTTTTTTTCCTTTTCCTTTTATTATTTTTTCCCCTTTTATTTGCTCTCAGATCTTACCCTTTAAATACTGAAGCCCTCAAAATCGTCTTTGGAGAAAGGTATAGACCTGTCTCCTGGGCTTGCGTTCTTAACTTTGGCAAATAAATCTACAATGATTGAGACTTGCCTGGGTCATCTTCTTTGATTTATAGCATGGACAGGGATGGGGGAGGCTGGAGGTGGGCAGAGAGATGAGTACACAGAAAAGGATTTGAAGCCAGGTAGAAAACAAAGAAAGAGTAAAATGACAAAAGCAAGGGAACCATAGAAATGTGAGAATCAAGACATGGGAGTTAATTAGATGTAAGCTGCTTGGAGCAGAGACCAGCTACTCTTTGCCTTTTGAACCCTGGCTCCCAGCAGTGTGGGTACTATAAATACCGGCAGAGGCGGAGTTGGGAAATGAATTACAGGAGAAAAATTTGAACACACTAAGGAAGATCCAGCAGAGCAAGAGGAAAGAATAATATCTACTTTACTTTCTGAACAGTTTAGGGATGAGCTTTTTCAAAAAGCAACAATACAGGAGTGAAAAACCCTATTATACTTTAAAGAATGGATACACTTAACTTGCAACTCTTGTTATTACTAAAGTCTTAACATTCAAATTCTAACTTATTTTAGAAACTTACTCCTCAAAAAGCATTCCCTAGATTTGGTGCCCTTACTAAGAAATTGAACCTAAGAGATATTTCACATTTTTAGCCTTCTCATAAAATTTAAAAAATTAAATAGCTTTTACAAAACAACAAAGCACAAAAAAATGGGCAAATGAAGATATCCAAATGGTCAGTAAGGACATGAAAAGGGCCAGGCACGGTGGCTCACACCTGCAATCCCAGCACTTTGGGAGGCTGAGGCAGGCGGATCACTTGAGGCCAGGAGTTCGAGATCAGCCTGGTCAACATGGCAAGACCCCATCTCTACTAAAAATACAAAAATTTGCCAGGTGTGGTGGCACACGCCTACAATCCCAGCTACTAGGGTGGCTGAGGCACGAGAATAGCCTGAGCCCGGGAGGCGGAAGTTGCAGTGAGCTGAGATCGCACCACTGCACTCCAGCCTGAGTGTCAGTGAGACTCTATCTCAAAAAAAAAAAAAAAGGCCGGACGCGGTGGCTCAGGCCTGTAATCCCAGCACTTTGGGAGGCCGAGGCAGGTGAATCATGAGGTCAGGAGATCGAGACCATCCTGGCTAACATGGTGAAACCCCCGTCTCTACTAAAAAATAGAAAAAATTAGCTGGGCGTGGTGGCGGGCACCTGCAGTCCCAGCTACTCGGGAGGCTGAGGCAGGAGAATGGCGTGAACCCAGGAGGCGGAGCTTGCAGTAAGCCAACATCGCGCCACTGCACTCCAGCCTGGGCTGCGAGACTCCGTCTCAAAAAAAAGAACATGAAAAGAAGCTCAGTATCATCAGGCATTGGAGAAACTCAAATTAAACCTACAATGAGATTATTTAATACCCATTAGATTGGCTAAAATAAGAAAGCCTGACGATAGCAGATATTGCAGAACTACAATTCTCATGTTACTGTTGGGAGTATAAAATGGTACACTTTGAAAAGTTGTTTGACATTTTCCCTTTTTTCTCTTCTTTGAGACAGGGTCTTGCTCTGTTGCCCAGGCTGGAGTGTAGTGATCACAGATTATTGCAGCCTTGATCTCTTGGGCTCAAGCAACAACCTTCCAAGTAGCTGGGACTACAGGCATATGCCACCAAACCCAGCTAATTAAAAAAATTTTTTTTAGAGATAGGGTCTCACTATATTGCCCAGGCTGGTCTTGAACTCCTGGCTCAAATGATTCTCCCATCTCGGCCTCCCACAGTGTGAAATTACAAGCGTGAACCACTGTGCCCGACTGACACTTTCTTATAAATATAAACCTATCCTATGAGCCAGCAATTCCATTTCTAGGTTGTTACCCAAAGTAAATGAAAACATGCTCATAAAAAAAATTATACAAGAATGTTCTGGCCATCATGGAGAAACCCCATCTCTACTAAAAAATAAAAAATTAGCCGGGTGTGGGATTACAATCCCAGCTACTTGGGAGGCTGAGGCAGGAGAATCACTTGAACCCGGGAAGCAGAGGTTGCGGTGAGCTGAGATCGCACCATTGCACTCCAGCCTGGGCAACAAGAGTGAAACTCCGTCTCAAAAAAAAAAGAATGTTCATACTTTATTCATAAAGTCCAAAGCCGGAAACAATGCAAATATCTGTCAACAGGAGAATAGACAAAACAAAGTGTGATAATTTCATAGAAGGGAATATTACTCAGCAATGAAAACCACAGATACGTGTAACAACATGTACTAATATAAAACACCATTATGCTAAGCAAACATTATGTTAAGCATATAAGTATAATGATTCTATCTCTATGATATTGTAGAACAGATAAAACTAATCTATACTGACAGAAAGTAAGTCAGTGGTTACCTAAGACCTGGGGGTGAGGGTGGAGGATTAACTAAATAGGGACACAAGAGAACTTTCTGGGGTGATGAAAATGTTCCATGTCTTGTTACAGATATTTGTTACTCACGTATATAAAACTCTCAAAACTCATCAAATGTGAATACTTAAGATCTGTGCATCTTATTGTATGTAAATTATCCCTCAATTTTTAAAAAGTTGTTTGAAAAAACAGTCAAAATTCTCTGGAATCAGCAACACTAGCAGGCTACTTGGCATTTTCTATCATACATGCCTACAATTTTAATAGATAGGTAGGTAGATAGGTAGGTAGGTAGATTAGATAGGTAGGTAGATAGCTAGGTAGGTGGATTGGATGGATGGATAGACAGACAGACAGACAGACAGACAGACAGACAGAGGCAGGGTCTTGCTCTGTTGCCCAGGCTGGAGTACAGTGCAAGACCACAGCTCCTACAGCCTTGACCTCCTGGGCTCAAGCAATCCTCCCACCTCAGCCTCCCAAGTAGCTGGGACCACAGGTGCACATCACCATGCCTGGCTAATTAAAAAAAAAAATTTTATAGACCAGGCATGGTGGCTCACACCTATAATCCTAGCACTTTGGGAGACTGAAGCAGGAGGATTGCTTGAGCCCAGAAATTCAAGACTAGCCTGGGTAACATGGCAAAACCCCATCTCTAAAAAAATACAGAAATATTAGCTGGGCGTGGTGGCAGGCACCTGCAGTCCCAGCTACTCAGGAGGCTGAGATGGGAGGATTGCTTGAACCTGAGAGGCAGAAGTTGCAGTGAGCCAAGATTGCACCACTGCACTTTGGCCTGGGTGACAGAGTGAGACCCTGTCTCAAAAATATAAAATAAAATAAAATAAATATTTTTTGGTGTGTGTGGAGATAGGGTCTCCTTATGTTGCCCAGACTGGTCTCAAACTCTTGGGCTCAAGCTATCCTCCTGTCTTGGCCTCCCAAAGTGCTTGGATTACAGGTGCAAGCCACCACATGTGGCCCATGCCTATATTTTAAATACTTATGCAACAGAGGCCCTTACTATCATTCCTGTCCCATTCAACGTTTATTAAGTGTGAATAATAACTTAAAAATACATCTGGCCGGGCGCGATGGCTCACACCTGTAATCCCAGCACTTTGGGAGGCCGAGGCGGGCGGATCACGAGGTCAGGAGATCGAGACCATCCTGACTAACACAGTGAAACCCCGTCTCTACTAAAAATACAAAAAATTAGCCAGGCATGGTGGTGGGCGCCTGTAGTCCCAGCTACTCAGGAGGCTGAGGCAGGAGAATGGCGTGAACCCGGGAGGCAGAGCTTGCAGTGCACCGAGGTGGCGCCACTGCACTCCAGCCTGGGCGACAGAGTGAGACTCTGTCTCAAAAAAAAAAAAAAAAACATCTATGAGGCCGGGCGTGGTGGCTCACGCCTGTAATCCCAGTACTTTGGGAGGCCGAGGCGGGCGGATCACGAGGTCAGGAGATGGAGACCATCCTGGCTAACACGGTGAAACCCCATCTCTACTAAAAATACAAAAAAATTAGCCGGGCGTGGTGGCGGGCGCCTGTAGTCCCAGCTACTTGGGAGGCTGAGGCAGGCTGAGGTAGGAGAATGGCGTGAATGTGGGAGGCAGAGCTTGCAGTGAGCTGAGATCACGCCACTGCACTCCAGCCTGGGCGACAGAGCAAGACTCCATCTCAAAAAAAAAAAAAATACATCTATGAAAAATTGATAAGTGATATTCACTTATCTATCTGATTCCAAAGAAAAAATTAACTAAACTATAGCCAGAATACATAATTCCTATCATCAAAGTTCAGACTAACTCCAACCACCTGAACCTTTTTCTTCTGAGGACTTTGATGGGATAATATTGTTAAAAGCTTAATTTTTCTTTTTTTTTTAACACCCTTTCACTATCTATCACAATATATTTTTCCACTAGACACAGAGAAATAATATCATCAATGTAAGAGGAAATTTTACTGCAAATTTCTAAATCCTTGGTAAATCCTATAGAGATACTGCATGTTTTCAGAAGAATCTAAATTTATTAGCTCAAAACACAAATTCATGTTTAAGTCAAAAGTACTGAAAAGCATGTGATATTTATAAAGAAATATGGCCTAATGGAAAATAGAAAATAAAAAGCAAAAAAAGCAAATAATCATTATCGTACCCATTGAAAATATGCTGAATAAGTGGGTGAGTAGTCTTCATGTATACATCCTGATTGGTGCACGCCTCACCAAAGACTTCATCAAAATAAAAAACATGCTGAAAAATAAATTTGATTTTATGGAAAGAGACACATTCTGGATTTTCTTAATCACTATTCTAGTTAACAGATGATAAATGCCAAAATATGTCTTTAAGTAACAGTAACTGACCATATCAAACTTAGAGGTAAATAAGCAATCACTATTAAATGACAGGGCCTCCTCTTACTTGAGATCTCTGTAGACATGTTCTTACAAGGTAAAAACTAAGGCATACATTTTTTGTTTTCTCTTAAGAGAAGTAAATTGATAAACACAAGAGTGAGTCAATCCTCCTTAGGTCTAGGAGAGAAAGTGAATTCTATGGGGATTATCCTCGTATTCCAACTAAAGCTAGTATATTTAGAATTTTGGAGGAATTTGTGATCTGGCGCAGTGGCTCACGCCTGTAATCCCAACATTTTGGGAGGCCGAGGCCAGCAGATCACAAGGTCAGGAGATCGAGACCATCCTGGCTAACACGGTGAAACCCCATCTCTACTAAAAATACAAAAATTTAGCCGGGCATGGTGGTGGGCACTTGTAATCCCAGCTACTCGGGAGGCTGAGGCAGGAGAATGGCGTGAACCCAGGAGGTGGAGCTTGCAGTGAGCCGAGATGGCACCACTGCACTCCAGCCTGAGTGACAGAGCGAGATTCCATTTAAAAAAAAAAAAAAAGAATTTTGGAGGAATTCTAGGGGAAGATCTCAATTCTGTAGATTACACAGCTTAACTTTTAATTCCATAAATATTTATGCTCAGCTGGTAGCACATACATTGCAGTAGGCACTTGAAGGGGCCCAAGGATATAGACATTACCCTAGCATTTCCCTATCTTACCTCCTAAAAATGTTAATCTACACAAGTATGCAAATGACTGGAAGGTAGAAGAATCTTAAGATAAAGTACGTGTCGATTTCAAAGGAAAACATATTCTCTCTGATTATGAAAAAGACTATACTGAGAATGGACCACAGGGGAAGAAGAGGAATTTGAAAGGGAGTGATGGAAGGGGGGAAGGTATTCCAGGCACAGGGGAAGTATGAACAGAGTCAAAGCATAGAAGCACAAGGAATTAACTGTTTAATTAATTAATGTTTAGGGAATAGCAAGGATTCAATGTGATTGAAATACAGTATCACAGTAAGTAGAAAAGTGAAACAGAGGCCGGGCGCAGTGGCTCCACACCTGTAATCTCAGCACTTTGGGAGGCCGAGGCAGGTGGATCACCTGAGGTCAGGAGTTTGAGACCAGCCTGGCCAACATGGTGAAACCCATCTCTACTTAAATTACAAAAAATTAGCCAGGCGTGGTGGTGGGCGCCTGTAATCCCAGCTACTTGGGAGGCTAAGGCAGGAAAATCGCTGGAACCCGGGAGGCAGAGGTTGCAGTGAGCTGAGATCGCACCATTGCACTCCAGCCTGGGCAACGAGCAAAACTCCATCTCAAAAAAAAAAAAAAGAGACAGAATACTAGAATAATGAGTTAGGACTGTGTTGTAGGGGTCTTGGGACACCAGTCTTAACTGGGGGGCAGGATGCTCATATTTAATTCAGTAAATAGTGGGGAAACAATGAAAAACTAACTTTATAGGCAAGAAGGATGATTTCAGTCTTTACTGGAAGATTAATCTGGCTTCACACTATGAATGGTTTGAGAACAGAGACACTAGTAATTCAGTGGTGAGGTAAAAAGCATCTAAATTATTTGACAACCATGGAAATAAAGAGATGGATACAGAAGAAATTTGATAACTGACTAGAGGTGGGGAGCTGGGGAGAGAAAGGGGTCCAAGACGACTTCCAAATGAAAAATCACAGTAATTTGGAAAAAGACAGAAAAAAGACCCCATTACATTGGGTCTGAAAAGCATTAATTCAGCAGCTGTAATTATTTCCATAATTTAGGGGCTTACCATGTTGGTAGGTACAACTACATATATATATGTATGAATATATATCATTCTTATGTTGGTAGCTCGTATATATAGTATATATACACACATATATAAAAATATACATACATATATATTCTTATATACATATAGCCCAACTATACGTATATAATAGTAATATATATTTTGTTCATTGATTTTTTTTCTGAGATGGAGTCTCACTCTGTTGCCCAGGCTGGAGTGCAGTGGCATGATCTTGGCTCACTGCAACCTCCATCTCTTGGGTTTAAGCAACTCTCCTGCTTCAGTCTCCTGAGTAGCTGGGATTACAGGCGCCCGCCACCACGCCTGGCTGATTTTTGTAGTTTTAGTAAAGACGGGGGTCTCATCATGTTGGCCAGGCTGGTCTCGAACTCCTGACCTCAAGTGATCCGTCTGCTTCAGCCTCCCAAAGTGCTGGGATTACAGGTGTGAGCCCATGCTGGCTGATATATATTCTAATATATTATTTGCACCACCGCATTCTAGCCTGGGCCACAGATGAGACCCAGTCTCAAAAAATAAAAAAATTAAAAAAAAAATAAAAGTAACATGTATTTATAGAATATCTCTGGAAAGATACACTTAGAATAGGTAACCCCAATTGCCTTCATGGAGGAAACAGGATTAGAGGGACACTTGTATTTTACACTTTTGTACCTTTCTATTTCAAAATAGGTGAATCTATCCTATTCAGAGATATTTACTTTTTCATATAAAACTAACATGCAATAATATATATTCTTTTATATATATATAGCTGGGCTACCAAGATGTGTGTGTGTGTGTGTGCGTGTGTGTGTGTGTGTGTGTGTGTATAGTTGGTCTAATATGTAAGAATATATATATGAGAAATCCTAGTAATTTCAAGCCTGAGTATAGCATAATGACAGTCCATACACCATGAATGACAGATAAGGCCTTATCTTCTACTTTTTGGGCCTGCTCTAAATATCTAGTCAAGAAAAAATTTTATGGACAGATCCAGAAAACTGGACTTGGGCCAATTTACTGTGGGTCACTCTACCCCCAGTTTGAATCTGTTGTGTGTACCATTACATTACATTAGAATGGAAACTTGTTAGATTGTCTAAGAAGAAAGTGAGAACACAAATCCAAATCTACAAGTTAGAGAAAAAGTTACAAAGTAAGAAAATAATGAATCTGAAGAATAATAGATGTGTGAACTTTTAGTGCTTTGAAAAATGTGGTAAGATTTTAAGAACACTAAAATATTAATAACTACTGAAGTTGGGTGACAGGCACATAGAGAGGTCATTAAACTTTTGATTAAGCTTAAAAAGGTCAATAATAGTTAAACATATTTTTAAAATCTGGTGGTATTTTTTTTTTTTTGAGACAGAGTCTCACTTTGTTGCCCAGGTTGGAGTGCAGTGGCGTGATCTTGGCTCACTGCAACCTCCCACTCCCTGCTTCAAGCGATTCTCCTGCCTCAGCCTCCCAAGTAGCTGGGATTACAGTGCCCACCACCATGCCCAGCTAATTTTTTTGTATTGTTAGTAGAGACAGGGTTTCACCATGTTGGCCAGGCTGGTCTCAAGAGCTCCCGAAGGTGATCCGCCTGCCTCGGCCTACCAAAGTGCTGGGATTACAGGTGTGAGCCACTGTGCCCAGCCTAAAATCTGGTTTTAATGAACATTATTTATATCTATTTCATACACAGTTTCTAGGCAAGGAGACAAAATAATTCGTTGCTCAAATTATCACCATAGGTTTTTATAGTTAAGTATGAAATCCAAAACAAAGAAACCCACTAGATCTATAGTTATCTATAGATGTGGATATATTCGGCATTTCTCAAAAAAAAAAAAAAAAAAAAAAAAGAAAAAACCCACAACTAAAGTGGGAATACATTTTTTTGTTTCCTTTTATTACAGCGAGTATATGGCAATTCTGTCTCTCCTTCTAAAAGTGCTCATGGATAGCTTTAGCTTTTGAGTAAAGACCTTAGAAAGCATTTATTGATTAAGGGAATTAGTATCTTTCCTTCCAATAAGGTTTAGATATTGGTTTTCCCAGTACTTTTGTAAATATCTTTCATGAAAGATATGTAAACATGCAAGATTATTATAGTTAATGTATATACACAATTCATAACGTCCTTTGCATCACACACACTTTCATTTGCTCACACTTTATCAGTGAGGCTGGAGTAACACCTACGTTGACCTTACTAACCTTGACAGAATCAGAGTTCCACAGTTTATTTATTTTGAGACACAGTCTCCCTTTGTCACCCAGGCTGGAGTGCAGGGGTGTGATCTCGGCTTACTGCAACCTCCACCTCCCAGGTTCAAGCGATTCTCATGCCTCAGCCTCCCGAGTAGCTGGGATTACAGGCATGCAGCCACCACGCCCAACTAATTTTTTGTATTTTTAGTAGAGATGGGGTTTCGCTATGATAGCCAGGCTGGTCTCAAATTGCTGCCCCCAAGTGATCTGTCCACCTCGGACTCCCAAAGTGCAGTTTATTTTTTAAGTAAGTTTTTCTTCAGATTATAAAAGTAACATGTGGGCCAGGCACTTGTAATCCCAGCACCTTGAAAGGCTGAGGAGGGTGGATCACCTGAATTCAGGAGTTTGAGACCAGCCGAGGCAACATGGAGAAACCCAGTCTTTACAAAAAATACAAAAATTAGCCTGGCATGGTGGTGTGATGCCTGTAATCCCAGCTACTCGGGAGGCTGAGGTGGGAGGATCACTTGAGCCCAGGAGGTTGAGGCTGCAGTGTGCCATGACTGCACCACTGTACCTCAGCCTGGGCAACAGAACAAGACCCTGTCTCAGAAAAATTAAAAAACCAAAATTACAATAGAGAACAAAATATAGAGAATAGAGAAGAAAATAAAAGTATCCTTAAATCTAGGTGTTCAGCCACTGTTAACTTTTTGATGTATTTCAGATTTCAGTGTCATCTTATTTTTTCTATATATGTATTTTTTTTTCTTTTTTTTTTTTTTTGAGACAGAGTCTCACTCTGTCGCCCAGGCTGGGGTGCAGTGGCGTGATCTCGGCTCACTGCAAGCTCTGCCTCCTGGGTTCACGCCATTCTCCTGCCTCAGCCTCCCTAGTAGCTGGGACTACAGGCGCCTGCCACCATGCCTGACTAATTTTTTGTATTTTTAGTAGAGACGAGGTTTCACTGTGTTAGCCAGGATGGTCTTGATCTCCTGACCTTGTGATCCACGGCCTCGGCCTCCCAAAGTGCTGATTACAGGCATGAGTAATGCCAGCGCGGTGCCTGGCCTCTTTTTCTTTATTATTATTTTTAAGACAGAGTCTTACTCTGTCACCCAGGTTGGAGTGCAGTGGCACAATCACAGCTTACTATAGTCTCAACCTCCCAGGCTCAAGTGATCCTCCCACCTCAGCCTCCCGAGTAGCTGAAACTACAGGTACATGTCACCACGCTTGGCAATTTTTTTTTTTTTTGAGACAGAGTCTCACTCTGTTGCCCAGGCTGGAGTGCAGTGGCGCAATCTCAGCTCACTGTGAACTCTAACTCCCAGATTCAAGTGATTCTCCTGCCTCAGCCTCCCAAGTAGCTGGGATTACAGGTGTGTGCCACCAGGCCCAGCTAATTTTTGTATTTTTAAAAGAGACGGAGTTTCACCACATTGGCTAGGCTGGTCTTAAAACTCCTGACTTCAAGTGATCTGCCCCCCTCATCCTCCCAAAGTGCTGGGATTACAGGTGTAAGCCGCTGTGCCTCACCACCAGCTAATTTTTTTTTTTTTTTTCTGAGACGGAGTCTCCCTCTCTCTCCCAGTCTGGAGTGCAGTGGTGCGATCTCGGCTCACTGCAAGCTCCGCCTCCCGGGTTCACGCCATTCTCCTGCCTCAGCCTCCCAAGTAGCTGGGACTACAGGTGACTGCCAACACGTCTGGCTAATTTTTTGTATTTTTAGTGAGATGGAGTTTCACCGTGTTAGCCAGGATGGTCTCGATCTCCTGACTTTGTGACCCACCTGCCTCAGCCTCCCAAAGTGCTGGGATTACAGGCGTGAGCCACCGTGCCCAGCCTAATTTTTTTTTTTTAATTTTTACAGAGACAGGCTTTCACCATGTTACCCAGGCTGGTTTTGAACCCCTGGGCTCAAGTGATCCTCCTGCTTTGGCCTCCCAAAATGCTGGGATGCTAGGCATGAGTTACCATACCCAGCCTGTATTTTTTCTGAAGAAATTGGTTGTACAGGCAAGCAGAGGCCAGACCACGTAGAGTCTTGTTAAAACTTTAAAATTTTATTCTAAGTGCAATAAAGAGTCTTAAAGGATTTTAAGTAAAAAAGTATGTGTATTATTTAGCAACTATCCTTCTGTATTTTACCAACAGTATTTTAATAATCAAGTATGGTTGTTGCATTATTAAACAGATGCTTTTATAGTGCCTATCACAGTTAATAGCTTTCCTAGTACTGAACTTGGATTATGCTTGCCTGCCAGTATAAAGTACTGAAACTAACTTGTTAATGTCTTATGTAGGCTTTTGTACTCATATTTATAAATAAGATTGGTCAGGCCAGGCGTGGTGGCTCATGCCTATAATCCCAACACTTTGGGAGGCTAAGGCAGGTGGATTGCTTGAGCTCAGGAGTTCGAGACCAGCTGGGCAACACGGCAAAACCTCATCTCTACAAAAAATACAAAAATTAGCCAGGCGTGGTGGCATGTACCTGTAGTCCCAGCTACTCAAGAGGCTGAGGTGGGAGGATCATTTGAGCTCAGGAGATGGAGGTAGCAGTGAGCCAGGATCATACCACTGCACTCCAGCCTGGGCGATGGAGACAGATCCTGTCTCAAACAGACAGACAAAAACCATTGGTCCATAGCTTATTTGTGTGTTTGTTGGCCAATCTTACTCACTTTGTAATATAACATCTGCATTAGCTTCCATATTAAACTTGTATTCACTTACTGCCAATTTCAAAAAACTAGAATGAAACAATATGGTTTGTTTCCTTGTTTCACTCATTATATTGATATAAAGTTTAATGGTTTGGTAGGATAGCATACTACATGTATATGATCATATTTACTAAGTAACAAGATTTGAAAAGATAGGACATTTAATAAAACAAACACAAAAACCTATTATCTCTAAATATGTTTAAAAATAAAGCCCAAAGAATCTACGATCAATATTTATTTAGCACTCAGTTTGCTATAAACCTACCTTTTCTTCTTTCTATTTGAGGAAGAAAAAAGAAAAAGAAGTCTTCCCAGCATTTTTATATCATAGCATTGACAGGTAAGGATTCGGACCTATGAGAGCAAAGGTCCAAAGTTCAAACAGCAGAGAAAGTGCCATGGAAACTATGGGTATTCAATAAGTATTGACCAGTGGTAATGACAAAAAAAGTAAGGTTATTGTGTTTGGGGATAACAGAAAAATACGAAAGATAAGATGATGCCTCCTTGATGGAATTACTGTGACAGAAGCATCATTAAGGAAGTCTTAGGTAGACAGTGATTGGATAGGGCTATTACGATGGCTATAAGTAGCCATGGAACTAGATAGCATTACAACTAATTGGTCATTTAGTCCATTTTCAAAATAAATATCTCCCACTGAGAACTAATAGACCGTGCATTGATCAGCAATCGATAAGGCTGTTAAAGTGATTGGGTTGGTTTTACAGTGGCCTAGTAATTTAGTACCAGTAGAAAGACTCAGTGGATTACTCTGAATATCTCTGTGAAACACAATTTTGGTAACCAAAGAAAAAGAAGAACAATACAAGTTTGAAAAAGGGTGAAAGTGTTAACAAATCACTTCAGCATTAAAGGATTTATTCCACTAATGTAAGATCTCAGCTGACTAAGGTGAATTGCTAGCATACCAGATTTTTTTTTCTTCCTACCAGTCACTGGGTTTTGAGGCAAGAGAACAAGAGAGAGAGAAAGAATAAATATAATATGAATGTTTAGGGAAGTAGATTCAGAGTAAGAGAAACTGTGTACTCTCAAATCTTAACATCCAATGGATTATCTGGTTTTAGATTACTCACAATTTTTCACAATTTTAGGAGTACCTAAATGATGATTCTTTCCATCTGTGGAGTTTGCTGTTTCCCTATGAGACTAAAGAATTATTGCAAGGTACCTTCAGCTTGGAATAAGTTTCTTTCAATACCAAACTCTTTCTCCTTGGACTCTTCATAATCACTCTAGCAGGCAGTGAACATTATTTACATGGCTGAGTTATTAGTGTTTTATTTAAACCCTTATATGTTAGATGTGAAATCATATCTCTGGATTTTATTTACCCACTGCAATCTACCCTGTATAAAGTGGTCTGCTCAGAGCCCAATTTTCGCCAATTAAGTATAAGCCCAAGACAGCTGAGAATCAAAATAAGCACGTGGCTGGCAATTGTCGGTCCTGTTGCCCAAAAAGATATTGTCCATCATTAAACCCAAGTCTCAAAGTCAGCAGAATGAGAAGTTCACACTGTGAGATGCAAGCAAGAATGGAAATCAACTGTGTGACATCTCATAGTCATATATTCAGTGACTGGTCCTGTTGACAACTACTTAATTATTTATTTGTTTTTTATTTTTATATTCTTTTAGAGGCAGATCCTCCCTCTGTTGCCCAGGCTGGAGTGCAGTGGTGCAATCATAGCTCACTGTAATGCAGAACTCCTGGGCTCAAGTGATCCTCCTGCCTCAGCCTCCTGAGTAGTTAAGACTACAGGTACACACCACCATGCTGGGCTAGTTTTAAGATCTTTTCTGGAGAGACAGGATCTCGCTATGGTGCCCAGGGTGGTCTCAAACTCTTGGGCTCAAGTGATCCTCCCACTGCAGCCTCCCAAAGCACTGGGATTATAGGCGTGAGCCACCACACCTGGCCCCACTTCATTATTTAAATTATTTTTATTCCTTCATTCCTCCTTTTTTTTGCTGAATATGTATAATTAAATTCACACAAAGCATGTTAAGTGAATATATGATGTAGCTCCACTGCACAAGAGAAATTGTTTTTGTATCCCCTATTGCACCGTCTTTTGAAAAAATGAAGGCCCTGGATATCAATGACTTAATACAGTGTCACATCAGGAATGAATGTCAACACCCGAACCAGAAACTTGATTTTCAGTGTTCTAACAGAAACTTGTATGCCACCACTCAAACAAAAAGCAAAAAAAAATGACATACTTGATAATATTAGTTCCAAACATAAAACGAAAACATCATACCTGCAGAATATATTGAGTGAGGTCAACTGCTTCTTTCTTCTCATGCACAAGTAGAGTTTCTTTGTCTTCTACAGTAATAATATTAATTTCTCCACGACGTACCTCCCTCATGCCCAGGGGGCGTTTTCGAACACAAACTCTGATTTTCTCCATCTCAGTCCAAGGATTCTGTTTCTCTGAAGTGTTCTGTCTAATATGTTTATAAACAGGCTTTTAATTTTTAATAATAGGACAAGATTACTTAACAGGTCAAAGTATTGGTACCTTTTAGCCGGGCGCGGTGGCTTACGCCTGTAATCCCAGCACTTTGAGAGGCCGAGGTGGGCGGATCACGATGTCAGGAGATCAAGACCATCCTGGCTAACACGGTGAAACCCCATCTCTACTAAAAATACAAAAAATTAGCCAGGCATAGTGGCGTGCGCCTGTAATCCCAGCTACTTGGGAGGCTGAGGCAGGAGAATGGCGTGAACCCGGGAGGCAGAGCTTGCAGTGAGCCGAGATTGCGCCACTGCACTCCAGCCTGGGCGACAGAGCCAGATTCTGTCTCAAAAAAAAAAAAAGTATTGGTACATTTTGCTGTATATTAGGCATAATATATTTCTTAAAGTTACAAAGTAAAGTGTCAACCCTGAGAAAGTTCTTCTATCTCCATCCCCACCCTGCTCCGCCCTTTTCCTTGCAAAAACACAAATAACAGAACAACAACAAAAAACCAACCAACAAACAAAAAACCCCTAAGAGATCATATATAGAATACTATTTTATACAATTGTTTCATATCAATTCTGATTTCCTTAGCCCTCCAACTGGCTGCTGAAAAAAAATTTTTTTTGAGATAGGATCTCACTCTGTCACCCAGACTGGAGTACAGTGGCACAGCCATGGCTCATTGCAGCCTCAACCTCCAGGGTTCAAGAAATTCTACCTCAGCCTCCTAAGTAGCTAGGACTATAGCATACAACACCGCAGCTGGCTAATTTTTGTAATTTTTGTAGGGACAGGGTCCCACTATCTTGCCCAGGCTGGTCTTCAACTTATGGCCTCAAGCAATCCTCCCATTTTGGCCTGTCAAAGTGCTGGGATTACAAGCATCAGTCATCACGCTCAGCCTGGAGAATAATTTTTTTACTGGGATCTGAATTGGTTTAAAAAAAAAAAAACCAGCAAATAATTTTCTAATATAATGAATGCATAAAGCACTAATTTTATGGCATGTTTTAAAGCAAATTTTATTTTCTTAACCAACATTTAGGGACTTTAAAATGCATCATTTTTGCATGAAACTGCAGATGGAATAAATAAATGACAGAATAAATGAAATGTACCATTTTGAGGTACTGTGGGAAAATCGTGACAATCATTGAAACTGGATGACGGGCCAGGTGCGGTGGCTCACGCCTGTAATCCTAGCACTTCGAGAGGCTGAGGCGGGCAGATCACTTGAGGTCAGGAGTTCGAGACCAGCCTGGCCAACATGGTGAAACCCCATCTCTACTAAAAATATAAAACTTAGCTGGGCATGCTCACTTAAACCCAGGAGGTGGAGTTCACAGGTGAGATAGTGCCATTGCATTCCAGCCTGGGCAACAGAGCAAGACTCTGTCTGAAAAAAAAAAAAAAAAAAAGAAAAAAGAAAAAGAAATTGGATGATGGACATATTGGGATTCAGTGTTCTATTTTTTTCTTCTTTTGCATATGTTTGATTTTTCACAAGAAAAGGGAATTTTTTGTTTTGAGACAGGGTCTTGCTCTATCACCCAGACTGGAGTGCAGTGGTGCGAGCATAGCTCACTGAAGCCTCAACCTCCTGGGCTGAAGCCATCCTCCCACTTCAGCCAATAGTAGCTGGAACTACAGGTGCACACCATCATGTCTGGCTAATTTTTGTATTTTTGTAGAAACAGGGTCTCACCATGTTGCCCAGGCTGGCCTCGAACTCCTGGGCTCAAGCAATCTGCCTGCCTTGGCCTCCCAAAATGCCAGGATTGCAGGCATGAGCCACTGTGCTCATCAAAAATGAAAATTTTTAATGCTTTTTTTTTTTTTTGAGACAGAGTTTCATTGTGTCACCCAGGCTGGAGTGCAGTGGCACAATCTTGGCTCACTGCAACCTCTGCCTCCTGGGTTCAAGCGATTTTCCTACCTCAGCCTCTAGAATAGCTGGGACTGCAGGCACCTGCCATGACGCTCTGCTAATTTTTGTATTTTTAGTAGAGATGGGGTTTAGCCATGTTGGCCAGGCTGACCTTGAACTCCTGACCTCAGGTGATCCACCCGCCTTGGCCTCCCAAAGTGCTGGGATTAGAGGTGTGAGCCACTGTGCCTGGCCTAATGCATCATTTTAATAAGGGTTTTGTGTTAAAATCTTTAGTTGTTGGATATCAATAACCTAATCATATAAAGCTGATCAAAGAGGATAGAAAATGTTTGGTCCTTTTTAAAATTGTTCAGGGCTCTAGGATGACTCATATGAACAAAAGGCCCATAGTTTCAAGTTCAAGGAGCAAAAAGACATGCATGTTTTTTTAAAAAGCTCTAGTTTGGGCAGGGCAGAGTGGCTCTCACCTGTAATCCCAGTGCTTTGGGAAGCTGAGGTGGGAGGATCACTTGAGGCCAGGAGTTCAAGACCAGCCTGGGTAACATAGTGAGATCCCCAACTCTACAAAAAATTGAAAAATTAGCTGGGGACAGTGGTGCATACCTGTAGTCCTAGCTACTTGGGTGGCTGAGGCAGGAGGATCACTTGACCTCAGGAGTTTGAGGCCCCAGTGGACTATGACTGCACCACTGCACTCCAGCCTGGGTGACAGAGCAAGACCCTGTCTCTACAAATCAAACAAACAAACAAATAAACAAAAGAGTCAAATAAATGAAATGGTAATGGTTAAACTAAAATATCCATCCTATCCTTGATGGTGTTAAATAAAGTGGTATTTTTACTTATAAGTAATTCCAATTTAGATTTTTATGTACTGTTCAGTAAAAAAGTAATATTCAAGAAAATAGGCCAGGCGTGGTGGCTCACGCCTGTAATCCCAGCATTTTGGGAGGCTGAGGCGGGTGGATCACAAGGTCAGGAGATCAAGACCATCCTGGCTAACATGGTGAAACCCCACCTCTACTAAAAATACAAAAAATTAGCCAGGCATAGTGGCGGGCGCCTGTAGTCCCAGCTACTCGGAAGGCTGAGGCAGGAGAATGGCATGAACCCGGGAGGCGGAGCTTGCAGTGAGCAGAGATTGCACCACTGCACTCCAGCCTGGGCGACAGTGCGAGACTCCGTCTCAAAAAAAAAAAAAAAAAAAAGAAAATATTTACTCCTTCACCGCTGAGGTAACCAATGCAATAGCAACAATCTGCCTTCATAGTCAAGGAACAATCTATTCCTCTCAGAATTAAAAGAAGAAAACAGTATTACATGCTCTGTGATCTCCTAGACCAAACAAAATGTTTTCAGAAATATTATAATAAAAATTCACTTATGTATTTCAAATTATTAAAGATATTTTTACTGTTAAAACTGAGTCTTCTATTTTTATGGAGTAAAATAACTGATTATGAGATCTTCTGAAACCTTAGCCAATGTAAGACCAGATATAAATTCTTTATCTTAAGGTATGAATAACAGTATTTTTAAAAAGAAAATATGGCTCAAGAATGAATTTTGTTTGCCCATAACTCACATATATAATGTTTAAAATAAAACAAGGAGTACTTTTTTTTTTTTTTTACAAGATTAAAAGAACATATTTCCTATTATACCATTGTTAGTACTAGGGATTACTTGTTATTTCACCTCTTAGGGACCTTATTTCAAATTCTAACTCGAAGCACTAGGTGAAAATAACTTATTGTCACCCTGACTCTCAAACTCTCATCTCCACCAACAATGTCTTACTGTTTGTAATCACCAAAATTATCTGTTTTTTCCGGGGTTGAAATTGTAGAAAGCACTCAAAATTAGGATCATATTTCAATGTGTGTAGGTGAACTAACTGCCCCAAAGACCTACTTAATTAAACTACATGCCCTTGTTTTTTAACAAAGCATCTTTAAGTCTCCTGGTTGGGTTAAGTGAATTTGATAACCTTAAAAAAGTCCTGTGGATTGTGTAATTTTTTTCTCCACTGTAGAAGGGTTAACTATTTCACTTTCACAGATGTACTAGATGTATCATGTTACGCTATAATAAACAATAGAAACAGATCTGCTACAGATCCTGGCAAGTAGCAGCTGTTCTGATGTACATGAACAATATCATCTTTCTCCCACCTAGAAAGTCCCAATTTCTCATTAATTTTCCCACATCCAGGTATTCCTATTATTGATGCAAATGCTGTTCATGATAATTTCTGTTATATTCATTTACTATAAATAAGGAGTAGATGCTGTCTGCTGGACATGAAGGAGAGGCCTGCCCTTGCCTGAGGCTACTTTCCCTCAAAAGAAAGAAAGATAAAATTTATTACCTGATACAAGAATGAGGGATTCCATAGTTATACCCTGAAACATGAGAGATTCTTTGAATAATGGGAATATCACAATCCCCCAGTATTGCAGAAAGGTAATTTGGTGAAAAGAGTGAAGTGCTGATTTCTGTTTGCACATAGGAATCACCAGCTGTGGCATTCAGAATTCCTGTTTTTGTATGGTACTGGGAATCATCTGGTAGCATGTGTTCTAGCACTTTTAGGTAAGTGGACTTCTGTTCATTTGCAGAGAAATCTGATAAACTGCACATTTCAAACCCATCATTGCTGGCATTTCTGTCTTTATTGTCAGCAGGAGAATCAAAATTCAGCTGTCTGCGAGGGCCAGATCTTAATTCCTGAGATTTGATGCGCAGGCTGCTTGTCTGAAGATGACGCTCTGGGATACTGACTGCTTTATCTTCTTCTTGCATAATCTTAATAATTTTGATAAGTTGGAAGAGACGTTTGCGGTCGTTCATGTCATGGACTCCTAATTTGGAGTAGTCCTTCATTGTAATCTTGGCTAATTCATCTATTTTCTGAAGGCCAAGGGCAGTGAAATGAGAATAATACTGTGCAAGTTCAGCTTCACAAAGACATTCATATAACCAGGATGCCATTTTGGTGAATAGGTTTCTATAAACTCTGAAGAGAGAAAGAAAAGCCATTCGCTTGAAATAGAGTACATGTAATACAATTATTTATTTTAAAAATTGAAAACCACAAAACCACAAAACAAACATGCAAAAAATGTTTTATCTGTCAAGTTCTCAATAACATATTTTTCTTCTGAAATTATTGATTAAATAGCATAGTGCATGAACAAAGATGCTTTGTATTGCATATGAAGAATTTGTGGTAACATATAATTTGTTAATTTGCTTAATAAAAAGAGACATTCCATTTTACATATGTGTATATATACGTGTATATACATATATACGTGTATATGTATATATATACGTATATATGTACATATATACGTATATATGTATATACACGTATATATATACATATATACGTATATATGTGTATATATACATATATATACACATATATATACACACACATATATATATACACATAGATACACAAATGAACACATACATAACACATAACTTACTTATTTCTAGGGAGTTCCTTCCAACCTTGCAATGTCTACTTAACACATGCCACAACTATTGAAACCTTGTTCCCAACAACTGATTGTAGCAGGACTAATTTTAGATGCTCAACTTAATGTCAAGGCATGCTGCACAACTGTTTCCCATGAATAATGAACAGGGGCTAAGAACTCTTTCAGAATGAAAAGCAGAATTAAATGGCATACCACAGAGGATTATAAACTAATGTAACTCAAAGGAAGATAGCATTTGCATTTGCTGAGTACTGGCAAAAGTTAGTTAAATAGAAGTAAAGACATCATCAATTCAGCATCAGCCAATTCAGGATTTCAGATCATTCCAAAAGGTGGTCATCGATCTCTACCTGTACAGAATATGAATCAAATAATTTGCCCAGGAAATTAATACTAAGGTCAAGATTTTAAATAGTTGTATCTTTTAAAAAATTTTAATATCAAGATATTTAATTAAATACTAACAAATAATGTGGTAATAACACATAATCCTGGTCTATTATTAAAAGTCAGGATCCTGAGCTCTCTATATCACTGTTAATCAAGTTCATGAGAATATCCAAAAGTAAATACAGTACATTTTCTTTTTTAAAATGGTTTCATAATTCAGAGTTTTCAAAAATTCAGTTAGGTAACTAGTGGTACAACTTTCCTGTTTTCGTTTTAATTTCTATTTCATCTTCTTTCTAGCAGAAACAGAGAAAGAGGTGAGGGCAAGGTAATAAAGATAACCAAAGAACGTTGAATAATTAGCTTTGGGGGAAATACTACTTAGGCTAAAAGGCTAAATGGGCTGAGTAACACATCCTAAACTAATCCTGGCCTTCTATTTGTGGTAGATTTGTTTTTTTTGAGATGGAGTTTCACTCTGTTGCCCAGGCTGGAGTGCAGTGGTGGTATCTTGGCTCACTGCAACTTCCGCCTCCAGGTTCAAGCAATTCTCCTGTCTCAGCCTCCTGAGTAGCTAGGATTCACAGGTGCGTGCCACCACACCCGGCTAATTTTTGTATTTTTAGTAGAGAAGGAGTTTCGCCATGTTGGCCAGGCTGGTCTCGAACTCCTGACCTCAGGTGATCCACCCACCTCAGCCTCGCAAAGTGCTGGGATTACAGGCGTGAGCCACCACACTGGCTGGTAGATTTGTTTTGTGAAGGCAGATTTGTTTTTTAAAGACCAAAAATTTTTTGCAGGTCCTTCCATGAAGAAGTGAAGTCTATTTCTTCCCTCATTTCATCTAGGCTAGCCTTGTGACTTGTTTTGCCCAATACAATATGGTAGGAGTAATGCTATGCGACTTCCATGCCTAGGCCTCAAGGGCCCAGCCAACAGCCATCACCAAAGCCAGACATGTGAAAGAAGTCATCTTAGACTATCCAGGCCCAGTGGCACCACTAGATGACTGCAACCACATGAGTGACCCCAGGTGAGATCAGGAAAAAACAACCCAAATATCTGGGCAAAGCCCAGCCCAAATATCTGACTCACAGAACTCTGAGCAAATAAAATGATAATTGTTTTAAGCCACTAAGTTTTGAGGGTAATTTGCTACACAGCAGTAGATAACTGCAATATCTCTCTTTAAATAATAATAATTTTTTAAAACAAGTTTTTTAGAAATTATTATTATTATTATTATTATTATTTTTAGAGATAGGGTCTTTGGACTCAAACTTGTAGGCACAAGTGATCCTCTCATCTCAGCCTCCCAAGTAACTGGGACTATAGGTGTGAGCCACCATGCCCAGATTAAAATTATTTTTTATTAAACTCTATTTTCTAGAGCAATTTTAGGTTCACAGCAAAAATAAGTGAAAGGTATAAAAACTTCCCATATATCCCCTGCCTCTCACATGTATAGCTTCCCCCGTTATCTGTTTTTTTTTTTTTGTTTTTTTTTTTTTGAGGGATGGTCTTGCTCTGTTGCCCAGGCTGGAGTGCAGTGGTGTGATCATGGTTCACTGCAGCCTCAACCTGCTGGGCTCAAGTGATCCTCCCACCTCAGCCTCCCAACTAGCTGGGACTACAGGTGCGCACCACCACATGTGGCTAATTTTTACATTTTTTTTTTTTTGTAGAGAAAGGGTCTCCCTGTGTTGCCCGGGCTAGTCTCAAACCCCTGGGGCTCAAGTGACCCTCCTGCCTCAGCCTCCCAAAGCGGTGGGATTACAGGTATAAGCCACCGAGCCAAGCCTAAATATGCTTCTGCGTACCACATTCCATTTTACAATGTTGAGCCTCTCCTCTTTCTTCTGAGATAAACATCAGAATCACTCTAGACACTTGGGTTTTTTTGTTGTTGTTGTTTATTGTTTGTTTTTTGAGACAGTCTCGCTCTGTTGCTCAGGCTGGAGTGCAGTGGTGCAATCTTGGCTCACTGCAACCTCCGCCTCCCGAGTTCAAGCAATTCCCATGCCTCAGCCTCCCAAATAGCTGGGAGTACAGGCGCGCGCCACCACGCCCGGCTAATTTTTTTGTATGTTTAGTAGAGAGGAGGTTTCACCATGTTGGCCAGGTTGGTCTCGAACTCCTGACCTCGAGTGATCCACCCACCTCAGACTCCCAAAGCGCTGGGGTTACAGGCATGAGCCACCATGCCCAGCCCAGTTTAGACACTTTAAAATATATAGATACCTGAGCCCCATCCCAGATCTATAGAAAACCAAAAAACAACAAGAAATAACTCCCAGGTTTTAGGAAAGGCAGACATAACAACTTCAGAAAAGTTCCCTAGGTGATTATGATTGCATGCCACTGATTTATATCTATCAAAATTACAAATGCAAATGCACTGATCCAGCAATTCTACCTCTAGGAACCTATCCTTATCCTTCAGATAATACGTACAAGTACAAAATGACGTTAACTATAATGTTATTCATTACAGCACAGCTTGTAATAGCAAAGTCATGGAATAGAGACTGGTGAAATAAATTATGATAGTCCATTTAATGAAATAATGCTATGAGACAATTACAAAGAGTAAGTAAACTGTAAAATGTTATTTAAAAAAGAAAGCTGTCCAATATATTGTTAATAAAGCAAGGTACAGAACAGTTTGTAAAAGAGAGAGATAAATGATCTATAATAAATCTATATCTTTGCTTATCAGACAAAAAACGTCACTTGCAGGATGCACAATAATAGTGGTCTTGAGGAGGTGAGGGGAAGTAGGTGGTAGAGGGTGATTATGGGAAGGAAACTACTGTATACTTTTAAATGCTGGTAGTTATTATTACCTTTCCTATTGTCATTTCTATGTCACTGGTGTCTCTATCACCCAGGGCAAGACCTAAAACAGTTTATTTTTTAAATTTTGAAACTATGTGACTGTATTATTTATTTTAAACATATATTTCTAAATAAAAAATTATATATATTTCTAATTTCACCTCCCTTCCTCCCTCTCAGCCTCCCCAAATTGACCTGATACAATTGTTTCTTAAGATCTTGGTGTCTTTCTAGCCTTTTAAAAAATTGTATATAACACTGTACTCATAACTATATTGCAATCTATGTTTTAATTTAACATAAACATTTTCATATGCTATATGTTACAGCCATAAAAACAATCCATACTATTATAAATATTTGACTAGATTAATACCTCAGGGAAATGTGACTTCTCTCTAAACTCCTGCAGAGTTTTGATGATAAAACTGATACGGCATTTATGACATACATACTCATTTTTAAAAAAAATTATTGCCAGTCTTGTTCCAGAGATAATGTAAGATGGTTCTGCCTTGTACTACTGTGTGAATTATTAAAGACAAAAGCAGTATGATCCCACTCAGTCAAGCATTGTGCTAGATAGGTGTGCAACAAATATTTTAAGTGAATAGTATCTGCTTAGATTCTGTTCATTTAAAATATTTAGAAATGGGCCTGGCACAGTGGCTCATGCCTGTAATCCCAGCACTTTGGGAGGCCAAGGCCAGGGGATCACTTGAGGTCAGGAGTTTGAGAACAGTCTGGCCAACATGGCAAAACCCTGTCTCTACTAAAAACGCAAAAAGTAGTCAGGCATGGTGGTGTGCGCCTGTAATCCCAGCTACTCAGGAGGCTGAGGTAGGAGAATCACTTGAACCCAGGAGGCAGAGGGTGCAGTGAGCTGAGATTGTGCCATTGCACTCCAACCTGGGTGACAGAGCAAGACTCTGTCACCCCCCCAAAAAAAAAAATTTTTTTAGAAATGTTCCATTATCGGCCGGGCGTGGGGGCTCATGCCTATAATCCCAGCACTTTGGCAGGCCAAGGTGGGTGGATCACGAGGTCAGGAGATCGAGACCATCCTGGCCAACATGGTGAAACCGTCTCTACTAAAAATACAAAAATTAGCTGGGTGTGGTGGCAAGTGCCTGTAATCCCAGCTACTCAGGAGGCTGAGTTTCACCTGAACCTGGGAGGTGGAGGGTGCAGTAAGCCGAGATCGTGTCACTGCACTCCAGTCTGGCAATAGAGC
Source organism: Homo sapiens (assembly GCF_000001405.40). Classification (NCBI taxonomy): domain Eukaryota; kingdom Metazoa; phylum Chordata; class Mammalia; order Primates; family Hominidae; genus Homo; species Homo sapiens. The sequence continues at coordinate 34,316,327 of NC_000009.12, forward strand.
GAGACTCTATTAAAAAAAAAAAAAAGTTCCATTATGTCTACTGTTTTGCCCAAGGCAACGAAGTGATTAAAAGATTCCATGACACCTGCTTATGTGGCCATAGAGCCATTTTCTCTGAGTTTCCTAATTCTTTACGAGTCCCATCACCCAAAGTAATGGCAACATCCTCAGGGCCCTTACGACTTTAAGAAGCCAAATATCCACAATGTTACCAACTTCACTCTGAACACTTCATATGGTTTAAAAAAGCATTTTATATAAAAGGCTAATTCCATTATGTCAGCAGATAGTCCACATCCATACTACTTTGATGATCTGATTAAACTAAAATGTATTGAGTTCTGTTTTATGCCAAGCACTATGTTAGATGCTTTATATAAAAAATGTTATTTATTGTTAAGTCAGAATTCTGTTTTTAAAAACTCTGTTGAAGCAAACTCCTAAAGTAAAAATAGTGCTTACTGGCTGGGCGCGGTGGCTCATGCCTGTAATCCCAGCACTTTGGGAGGCTGAGGCGAGTGGATCACAAGGTCAGGAGTTCGAGACCAGCCTGGCCAGCCTGGTGAAACCCCCCGTCTCTATTAAAAATACAAAAATTGGCCGGGCGGCTGAGCACGGTGGCTCACGCTTGTAATCCCAGCACTTTGGGAGGCTGAGGCGGGTGGATCATCTGAGGTCAGGAGTTCAAGACCAGCCTGGCCAAAATAGTGAAACGCCGTCTCTGCTAAAAATACAAAACAATTAGCTGGGCGTGGTTGGCAGACACCCATAATCCCAGCTACTCGGGAGGCTGAGGCAGGAGAATCACTTGTACCGGGAAAGTGGAGGTTGCGGTGAGCTGAGATCGCGCCATTGCACTCCAGTCTGGGCAACAAGAGTGAAACTCTGTCTCAAAAAAAAAAAAGAAAAAAAAATTGGCCAGGCATGGTGGCACGCGCCTGTAATCCCAGCTACTCTGGAGGCTGAGGTAGGAGAATCACTTGACCGTGGGAGGCGGACATTGCAGTGAGCCAAGATCACGCCACTGCACTCCAGCCTGGGCGACAGAAGGAGACTGTCTTAAAAAAAAAAAAAAGTGCTTATTTACTGGTTGTTGTTTTTAGATTGACAATTTCAATGTAAGTTACAGTAGTACCTGTCCTCCAATTTAGCTTTCTGCCATTTCAGTTACCCTTAGACAACCAGTCCAAAAATATTAAGTGAAAAATTCCAGAAAGGAACAATTTGTAAGATTTAAATTGTGCACCATTCTGAGTAGCACGATTAAAATCTCTCACAATACTGGCTCCCCTTTCCTGGAATGTCAATCATCCCACTGTCCAGCCTATCCACACTGCATAAACTACCCACTCATTAGTCACTTAGTAGCCATTTTGGTTACCAGATCAACTGTGGGGTATTGCAATGCTTGTGTTCATGTAACCTTATTTTACTTAAATAACGGCCCCAAAGCAAAAGAGTAGTAATGTTGGCAATTCAGATATGCCAAAGAGAAGCCATAGTGCTTCCTTTAAGTGAAAGAATGAAAGTTCTAGACTTAGGAAAATGCATAACCTATAATAGGGGTTGGTACTATCCATGGTTTCAGGCATCCACCGGGGGTCTTGGAATATATCCTCCTTGAATAAGGGGGCATACTACCATACCCTTAAAATCTTAATTTTTTTTAATTCAAATTGTATTATTGGATTTATTTTTCAGTAGTTAGGGGAGCATGGGAGCAAAGGATTGCTTTAAGAATCCTTTCCTCAACATGTAGAAGCCTGATTAGAAAATTAGGGAGGAGAACAAACAAGTCTAAAGCTGGTGGTTTAACAAGATAAATACATGAATAATGCAGCCTGGGCAACATAGTGAGACCCCGCCCCTAAAAAAAAGACATGAATAATGAACATATAGGTAACCCTCAGCTATAAGTTGTAAAAGTTACATAGAAATAGGCTATAGAAGAGTAGAATCGTGTCGCGGCTCGAGAGCGAGACTCCCGTCTTGGAGCCAGCCCAGCCCAACCCAGCCCAACCCAGCTTGACCTAGCCCTGACAGGTCCATCGTGGTGCACGCAAACCACCTCCCAGCCACGCGCTCCCTCCTGCTCCTCAGCGCCTTCTGCCTCCTGGCGGTGGCCTTGGCGACCGAGGTGAAGAAACCTGCAGCCACAGCAGCTCCTGGCACCGCAGAGAAGCTGAGCCCCAAGGCAGCCACGCTGGCCGAACACAGCGCCGGCCTGGCCTTCAGCCTGTACCAGGCCATGGCCAAGGACCAGGCGGTGGAGAACATCCTGGTGTCGCCCGTGGTGGTGGCCTCGTCGTTGGGGCTCGTGTCGCTGGGCGGCAAGGCGACCACGGCGTCGGAGGCCAAGGCAGTGCTGAGTGCCAAGCAGCTGAGCGACGAGGAGGTGCACGCCGGCGTGGGCGAGCCGCTGCGTTCACTCAGCAACTCCACCGCGCGCAACGTGACCTGGAAGCTGTGCAGTCGCCTGTAGGGACCCAGCTCAGTGAGTTTCGCTGATGACTTCGTGCGCAGCAGCAAGCAGCACTACAACTGCGAGCACTCCAAGATCAATTTCCATGACAAGCGCAGTGCGCTGCAGTCCATCCACGAGTGGGCCGTGCAGACCACCGACGGCAAGCTGCCCAAGGTCACCAAGGACATGGAGTGCATGGATGGCGCCCTGCTTGTCAACACCATGTTCTTCAAGCCACACTGGAATGAGAAATTCCACCACAAGATGGTGGAAAACCGTGGCTTCATGGTGACTCGGTTCTATACCGTGGGTGTCATGGTGATGCACCAGACAGGCCTCTACAACTACTATGACAATGAGAAGGAAAAGCTGCAAATCGTGGAGATGCCCCTGGCCCACAAGCTCTCCAGCCTCATCATCCTCATGCCCCACCACGTGGAGCCCCTCGAGGCCTTAAAAAGCTGGTAACCAAAGAGCAGCTGAAGATCTGGATGGGGAAGAAGCAGAAGCCTGTCGCCATCTCCTTGCCCAAGCGGGTGGTGGAAGTTCCCATGACCTGCAGAAACTCCTGGCTAGGCTTGGCCTGACTGAGGCCATTGACAAGAACAAGGCAAACTTGTCACGCATGCCACACAAGAAGGACCTGTACCTGACCAGCGTGTTCCACGCCACCGCCTTTGAGTTGGACACAGACGGCAACTCCTTTGACCAGGACATCTATGGGAGCAAGGAGCTGCGCAGCCCCAAGCTGTTCTACTCCGACCACCCCTTCATCTTCCTGGTGTGGGACACCCAGAGCGGCTCCCTGCTGTTCACTGGGCACCTGGTCCGGCCTAAGGTTGACAAGATGCAAGACGAGTTTTAGGGCCTCAGGGTGCACACAGGATGGCAGGAGGCAGCCAAAGGCTTCTGAGACACATGGGTGCTACTGGGATTCGGGGGAGGTGAGGTACCAGCTTGGATACTCCATGGGTGGGGGTGGACAAACAAACCAGGGTTCCCGTGTGCTTGAACGGCCCTTCCCAGCTAGAATTTACTCCACTTGGACGTGGGCCCCAGATACCATGATGCTGAGCCCAGAAACTCCACATCCTGTGGTACCTGGGCCATAATCATCCTGCCTGCCCTCAAAGTCCCAGATCAAGCCTGCCTCAATCAGTGTTCATATTTATAGCCAAGTACCTTCTCACCTGTGAGACCAAATGGAGCTAGGGGGGTCAGCCAGCCCTCTTCTCCTGACACTAAACCACCTCAGCCACCTCCCCAGCTCTATCCCAGTCTCTCCCAACTACAAAACTAGGTGCTGCAGCCCCTGGGACCAGGCATCCCCAGAATGACCTGGCCCCATTGAGGCAGATCGAGAAAGAGCTCACAGGACAGGCTTCTGGGCAGACTCTGGTCAAGAATGGCGTCATGGGGATGAACTTTTTGTTTCTTTTTTAGTTCTTCAAAGATGGGGAGGGAAGGGGGAACATAAGCCTTTGTTACTATCAAACCAAGAACTTATTTATACAGTTTTTCTTTTCAATAAAATGTTCCAACAAAAAAAAAAAAAAAAGAAAAAGAAAAGAAATAGGCTATAACCAGCCAGGCAGGGTGGCTCGTGCCTGTAATCCCAGCACTTTGGGAAGCAGAGGCAAGCGGATCACCTGAGATCAGGGGTTCGAGACCAGCCTGGCCAACATGGCGAAACCCCATCTCTACTAAAAATACAAAAATTAGCTGGGCATGGTGGCGGGCACCTGTAATCCCAGCTACTCGGGAGGCCGAGGCAGGAGAATCTCTTGAACCCAGGAGGCGGAGGTTGCAGTGAGCCAAGATTGCACCACTGCACTTCAGCCTGGGTGACAAGAATCAAACTCCTTCTCAAAAAAAAAAAAAAAAAAAAAAAGGAAAAAAAGAAAAAGGCTATAACCTACAAATAGCTACAGATCTCCCTTGGGAAGGAGGGGAGAGGGGAGGACCTAAACTAATTTTTCTCTTTCCACAAATTTAAGTATGTTTGAATTCAGGTTGCCAAAATGTTACTGAAATGACCTTTATTTTACCTGTACCCCAGGATTTTTGCTCTAGATCTCTTTAGACAGGCTTACCAGGATAATGACCCTTCTCCATGTACTTAGCTATATCTGCATTGTTCAAATGTGTGCTTTTATTTTTATTCACTGTTTTCTTTGTAGTTACGTATTTTATTGTAAGACCTCCCTCCATCCTTCTTAGAAATAGATTAACATAATTATTGACATGTCACTAGATTCAGAAGGTAACTAACACTAAAGCACTGGTATAACACATCAGAGACATCCAATAAACATAGGCCCTTAAACTACCACTGCCACCAAACACATTCTTATTCTGTAGGGAGGGAGATGGAATTGAACAGGGAGCAAAATACCTACATGGTTTATTTTTTCTATTTCAAGATGTTAAATAAGATTTTTATTTCAAATATCTGTCAGTAGACTACCAAAGTGTTTGCGCAGTAGTAACTAGTATAGCAGATTACTAGATTAGGAGGCAAAAAAAAACCGAGGACTCAGTCAGTCTCTGCTAAGAACCAGGTGTGATACATGGTCAAATTATTTAACATCTATGAGTCTCTGCTTCTTCAAGTTTAAAATTGAAATAATGTATACAGGCATTGACAGTAAAATTAGATATGTTAAAGTACTCTCTACAAGTGTACTGATTACGCATTTGCAGGAGACAGGTTCTGTAACGCACCCACTAAGTGTCTGGAACAAAACAGGCACAGTGATCTACCGATAGCATTAAAAAAAAAAAAAAAGCTATACATACATACATACTTCTTCTTTTTTTTTTTTTTTTTTTTAGAGAAAGCGTCTCACTCTGTCGCCCAGGCTGGAGTACAGTGGTGCAATCACGGCTCACTGTAGTCACAAACTCCTGGGCTCAACCAATCCTCCTGCTTCAGTCTCCCAAGTAGCTGGGACTACAGGTGCATGCCACCAAACCTGACTAATTTTTTTATTTTTTGTAGAGATGAGGTCTCCCTATGTTGCCCAGGCTGGTCTGGAACTCCTGGGCTCAAGCGATCCTCTTGCCTCAGCCCCCAAAGTGTTGGGATTACAGGCATGAGCCACTGTGCCTGTCCTACATTATATTTTTGTAAGATTTTTTTAAAAGGAGTCCTACAGCTAGCCAGGTCAACAGAGATAATCTAATCTGTAGCTGATCTAGCCTATAATATTTGGTCCATGAAGGATTATCTTCATATTTTGCAGTCTGGCTTGCAAAGTGTTTAAATTTTTTTTTAATTTGTTGTACTGTTTAAAAAATTAGGAGCAATTAAAAATACCCAGTTCCTGCTTTTCCTGAAAATTAAAAGATGTAGTTATATCGGGCCTGCAATTAGATAAGGAAGTAGTAGACCAAAACAGAGTAGTGGCTGTCCCCTTTAGAAGGGCATATACTCTTCTAATACACCCCATGGTCCTGCCTGCTCCTAGTCCCTTTATAGCAACCAACTTTATTCATTTACATTAAGAAACCCAGTACCCAGTGGTAGTCACTCCCAATTTCCCCCCAACCCATCTAGCCCTAGACAAACACTAATAATGATCACTTTTTTTTTTAAGAGATGAGGTCTCAATGTTGCCCAGGCTGGTCTCAAACTCCTGAGTTCAAGTAATCCTCCTGCCTTGGCCTCCTAAAGTGCTAGGACAGGCATGAGCCACTGCACCCAGCCTAATAATAATCACTTTTAAAGAAGTTGCTAACAAAGTCACTGGGCCCGCTGGACTATTAGAAACTGATACAAGGCCAGGCACTGTGGCTCATGCCTATAATCACAGCACTTGGGGAGGCCAAGGTGGTTGGATCCCTTAAGCCCAGGAGTTTGAGACCAGCCTGGACGACATGGTGAAACTCCATCTCTACAAAAAATATAAAAATTGGCTGGGTGTGGTGATGTATGCCTTTAGTCACAGCTACTTGGGAGGCTGATATTGCGGGGTACTGCTTGAGCCTGGGAGGCGGAGGTTGCAGTGAGCCAAGATTGCGCCACTGCACTCCAGCCTGGGCAACAGAGTGAGACTCCGTCTCCAAAAAACAAATTAAAGAAACTGATACAAAAGAAAATCAGCATTTTCAATCAATTTTATTATTAAAACATTTCTGTACCCCATATTAGGCATAAGGTCACCAAGAACACAATAAATTCAGTATTATCAGTGAGAGATTAAAGGGTGAAAAATGTAGTATACACTTTTCCCCCTACAAGGGAACTTATTTCAAACTCTAGGGATTCTTCTATCTATAGACTACTGATCTCAACAGAAGACAGATGATACTAGACAACTGCTTAAAACAGCTGCTGCAAAGGAATTAGAATATATGATACTTAATAGAATTCTTAAGGCAAGATGTGGATTTGGGGATATAAATCATGTAAATTATATCCATTTTTAAAAAGTAGTTTTCAAGAAATTGTTTCTGTTTTTAACAGAAAAAAAATAGTTTCAAGTTTGTTTATGGTTAAGTAGCTAATGCTCTACAATTACTACAATTCCCCTCAAGAGCCCCACAAAGAGTTTACTACGTTTTTACATTTGGTGAAAAGCATGAGCAATCACCTAAAAATAAACATAACAAAATTTTAGAACCTAGTTATCTTAAACCAGTGCCAAGTATTACTTTCTCTAAATATAGACATTTAATTCTGAAAGACTTCTCAGTAACAGGTGGTAACCAATGTTGGGTTTAAATTCAGTGCTTTATTTTTAAAATCTTGCTCTGACAGACTGCAGGACGTTGTCATTTGCAGATTTTGCCACACTGCAGTCATAAAATACTTTCAACAGAATATATTTCACATGTTCAATCAGAAAAATAACTGTTACAATCAGTTTTCATAAATTACCAAGATGACATTCTTTCAGTCCCTTTGGGAACTGTTGCCACCATGGGACCAGGAATTATTTCCAAAGGAGTGACATCGAGAAAGCAAAGAACGACTAAAACAATAATTTCTTTCACTGTAATCAAAATTATTAACATGTAATTAATTGTGCTACCTGAATAATCTTCCAAGACTTTTTGTGATAGATGGCAATTAGTATCATCTCCCTTTTTACAAATAAAGAAACTGAGGCACAGATAATTTAATTTATTCAAAACCATGACATAAATTTGTTTTAGAAAGTGATCAGATAGCCATATATTGGCTACATAATTCTACACCACTAGTTTTAACTAATCAAATCTCACATAAGCAAGTGGCTAATTTAAAAGACTGTAATAGACACAGTACCACCCCTCATTGCTGGTGAAATCTCAACTAGTCTCTTTAGTCTGGACGTTGTGCAATATTATTAAGTGGGTTACTTCCAGAATCCCAATGTAACTTTAGTTCACCTCGTAGTAACACAGACAATCTCATGGCTATGTGTTGCAGCAAAAACAGCAGGAATCACTATAAAAATGTCTCCACAGTCGAGCATCTGAACTTGTCAATAACAGAATTCATTATACCTCCTGACAAAATCTGCCCCTCCACTTCTCTCTTCTTTGGAAGGGGGGTGAAAATACCATTCATGCAGTCACTCAGAACTAAACGAGAAAGCATCCTAGAGGCCTTCTTCTCCCTTAATCCCAAAACTAATCAATAGATCCAGCCAATTTAATCTCCCACATACTTGCCAAATTTCTCCTCTCCTATCCTTATTTCTACCACCACTGCTCTGGTGATTCAGCCCCATATCTTCCACCTATTCATTACACGTCTCATACCTGTTCTCCTGGCCTCCAGTTATGCCCCTCCTCAAACCATCTTCCAGACTGTAGAGCCAGATCACTCTTTTGAAAGCAGTTATAACAATGCTGCTCCCTTATTAAAAACCCTTCAATGGTATCTTATCATCTACACATAGTACAAAGTCCAAACTCCTAAGCATGACCCACAAATCCTTCTGTAATCTAGCCCCTTCCTCACTCTACAGTTTAGTCAACTTCTTAGACCGTTTTATTTCTCTGTGCATTCATTCACATTGTGCTCTTAAGTGGCCTCCTCCACTATCATCAAACTTCCCTTTACCTGTCTACCTCTTACTGATTATAACAACAAATGAGGTCTTTTCTGGTCTCCCCCAATGTGATCAGATGTCCCTTCCGTGTCTGCATCATACCTTTTGCATATCTCTATTATTACAGTTAATTATATTAATAATTATTATATGATAATTATTTGATTATGTCTATTTCCCCTAATAGAGTATAATTTCTTTGTGGTCAAGGAATGTGTCTTGCCCAGGCAGAGTGGCTCACACCTGTAATCCCAGCACTTTGGGAGGCTGAGGCAGAAAGATCACTTGAGCCCAGGAGTTTAAGACCAGCCTGGGCAACATATGGAGAACCCATCTCTATAAATAAGTAAATAAATAAAAATTAATTGGGCATGGTGGCACACACCTGTGGTCCCAGCTACTTGGGAGGCTGAGATGGGAGGATCACTTGAGCCCAGGAGGTTGAGGCTGCAGTGAACCATGATGACACCACTGCACTCCAGCCTGGGCAGTAGGGTGAGACTTCGTCTCAAAAAAAAAAAAAAAGCAATATGTCTTATTAGTCTTTTTATACCCAGGTTCTAAAACAGTGCCTGGGGCCAGGCACGGTGGCTCATGCCTGTAATCCCAGAACTTTGGGAGGCTGAGGTGGGTGGATCACTTGAGGCCAAAAGTTCGAGACCAGCCTGGTCAACATGGTGAAACCCCATCTCCACAAAAAATACAGAAATTAGCTGGGAATGTTGGCACACACTTTGTAATCCCAGCTACTCAGGAGGCTGACATGAGAATCGCTGGAACCTGGGAGGAAGAGGTTGCAGTGAGCCAAGATTGCGCCACTGCACTCCAGCCTGGGCAACAGAGTAAGACTATCTCAGAAAAAAATATAAATAAATAAATAAAAGAGTGATTGGAAATAATATTCAATAATTGTTTAATGAATAAATATCCCTACAGTATATTAAAACTCTATAAAAGCATTTGATATCGTTTGTGGTAACGGGTGGTAGAAACTATTTATCAGGGTAATTTGATTACTCAGGAAAATTGTGACAGAGATGCTGGTGCCCTGAGTCACTGCTCCTGGACACCAAAATTATGCAAGTTTGTATTACTCAAATGAATTGATATGGACACAGATATGGTTACAGTTCCAAGAGGAAACTTTATCCAATCTTCAAGAAATATTTTTTGAGAGACTTGTATGAGATAGGCCCTGTTTTATGCACCAGGAATATAAGTGAACAAAACAGACAAGGTCAGCCAGGCACAGTGGCTCATGCCTGTTATCCCAACACTTTAGGAGGCTGAGGGAGGATTGCTTGAGCCCAGGAGTTTGAGATGAGCCTGGACAACATAGTGAGGCCTTGTCTCTACAAATAAACAAAATTAGCTGGGCATGGTGGTACATGCCTGTGGTCCCAGCTACTTGGGGGGCTGAGGTGGGAGGATTGCTTGGGCCTGGGAGTCAGAGGCTACAGTGAGCCATGATCACACCACTGCAGTTCAGTGTGGGCAACAGGGCGACAGAGTAAGAGCCTGTCTCAAGAAAACCCCCCAAAAAACAGATAAGGTCCCTGCCCTCATGACACTATTATTTTAATGGGAAGAGATAATTAATAATCAATAAGCGGTAGTTTTAGATGATGATAATCACTACCGAAGAATAAAGCCCAGTGCAGGGCTTACTTTACATTGGATGATCAGAGAAGGCTTCATTCAGAAGGGAATATTTGAGGTGAAACCTGAAATAACATGGAGTCACTTATGTAAAAATCAGGAGGAAGAGGGTTCCACGTGAGCACATTAGCCCAAAGGTGGAAATGAGCATGGCAAAATCAAGCCATCAAACACGGACAGGTTGGCTGGCATAGTAGGTGAGAAGGAGAATAGTATGAGAAGAGGAGAGAAAGGTAGGGGCCAGATTATGTAGGGTGTACTGGGCCACATAAAAGTGTCTGAATTTTACTTTTAAGTGAAGTAGGAAGTCATTAGAGGATCTTAAGTGGAGAAAGTATATGCTATGATTCGTCTTCAAAGTTCACTCTCCCAGTTCTGTGAGGAAATGGATCACAGCAGGTGGGCAAAAGTGGAAACAGGGAGATCATTTAGGAAGCTACTGCACTGAACTGACAAAAAAAAATGCTGACTTGGAAAAAATGTTTCCTTTCATGAGGGTTAATTAGAATAATGTAAATTAACTGCTACATTCAGTGTCTGATATATAAACACTCAACAATATATTATACTATTATTATTAGTTTATACCTACAGAAAACTCTTCTTATTCAACACGATATGAACATCAAAACCCTTGAGACAGTAACTTGGGAGGTATACAATGACCATACACTCAAGGTTTAAGAAGTAGAACTCTATTATTTATTTAACAAAATGTGTTGAGGATCTACACTGTGCAAATTATAAACTGGTTTGCTGAGCCAGCATAGGGAAACTGGATTAATATATCAGGCATCATAGAATACTAGATCTGGAAGGGATCTAGAAGAGTTCAGCCCCTCACTTTACGACAAAAGAGCAGCCCAGAGAAAGAAACTGTGGTTCTCCCTAAACTAAAAACTGAGAGGCTCATACCTTAGGTTGCCCCAAGGACACACTCTGAATAACTAAAGATTTTCATTAACAATATAAAACCACAAATTTTAAATAAAATGCTATCTTAGCAGTAATGTGCTACACTAAGAAAAATGTAATATGCATATAAAGCCCTGGATACAGTGCTTTGTACGGGGTGAACACTCAATAAATGGTAACTACTACTTTCAGCAGCTAAAAAAAAAGTCTGTATGGTCTTTGGAAGGCTGAGAGTGTGTGGTCTACCTGACATCAACTACTTGACTTGAGAGTAGAGCCACAGGAATTTTAATCTAATTCAATTCTTTGATTTTCCAGATGGAAAAAATGAGGTCTAAAGGGGCTAGATTCAGGCGTTCAAGGCTGCGGTGAGCTATTATCATGCTAGTGCACTACAGCCTGGGTGACAGAGCAAGACATTTTCTCTAATAAAAAAAAAATAATAATAATAATAAAGGGACTAAATGACTTGCAAAGCCACCCACAGTGAATTAGAGACAGAGACAGAGCCAAAGCCAAACCCACATGTAGTGGGTTTCCACTACATGTCACAGCTATAAGGTAGTGTTTCAAACTTTTATAAAAGGGTAACAAGAACATAGCTGCTGTACTGAACTTTTTCACTCCTTTTATTAAGGCCACCAGTGAGCTATGAATTTGATATAAGGAGCAATCACACCAACAATCAGGCTGTGAATATATAATCCATGAGTTAACAACGAAACAGTCTTAGGAACGCAATTCTATCATAGACACCTGATGAATAGATGGAGTTCACCTGAGCAGCTGTTATATGCACTTCAATAGAGAGACTACAAAGCCTCTCTACTTGTAGAATACAAGTACAAAGAAGATGCTTTAAAACATTTTCCAAAGCACACTTAAAATGTGACAATAGCTGCCGGTCACTAAGAAGCTAAAGGGAGATAAATTATCTTGGCATACAGCAACAGAATGGTTTATTTTAAGCAAAGACTAAAAGGAGTCTAATAAAATTATTGGGAGACCAAGGCTAAAAGCCACAGATGCAGGAAGAGTTGCAGCAACCAATCCAAAAAAGTTTAGCCTTTCACAAAGAGTAGAAAGGCCAGCTGTGGACTGTGTGTGGACTTTTAGGTCCTTTTGCATTGAAGATTAGGGTGGCCTCCCCCTAGCCTCGAAATAAAAAATCGTCTCTGAAGCAGAGAGACAACAAGGCAGGGCATGAAGAGGAATCCAATCTATTTCTTGTAAATTAAATTCAACTCAACAAATATTTCCTGAAAATCTACTATGTGCAAGACATTGTGAACGATGCTTGCCTTACCTCAAAGGCTTCAAAATTTTATGGGAAAAGGGAAGCGAACGGGCTTCCCGGAAGTAAACAACCCAAGGGCGAATAGAAATGCCCTAAAAGAGGTGCCGGTCAGGCTTATCGGTTCAAAAGCAAGAAGGCTTTGGGACTCAAGAGTTTAGTCTCCCAAAGTGAGAGAAGTGGCGTTCAAGATAATTGCTGAAGAAAAGGCAGAGATATGGGGATGAAAGATAGGAAAGTAGGTGAACTTTAGGAAGAGCCAAGAGGGGCCAACTCTCGGTTCCCTCACAACTGCCAGTTTCCTCCCGCGCTCAGCCGACGTCACGCGCACCCGTGTCCGCGGGCAGGCGCCACGGTTCCGGACCAGACCTACCCCTCCTCTATTCTCCCCGCCCTTTCTCACCTCGGTCCAAACTCCTCGGTCTGCCCTGTCTGAGAAGAGGAGAAGACAATGCCGTCGGGAGTGAGCCCCAAAGCCCGCAACCTAACAGTCCCGTCAACCCGGGAGCCACCGGCGGCGGCCAGGCCGCATCTCCATGGCAACGCCGCCAAGCGCCAGTTCGAACGCCCGCGCTGTGGCCCGCGCGTCGCCAGTCCCGCACCGCCCACCAATGGGCATCCAAGGAATCGGTTGACGTTCGTTGACTTCTCCTCTGGAAGACCAATCAGAGGTCTGAAGAAACCGTGGGCGTAACTCTCAATTTCCGACCTTCAGCCAATCGTTCCGCTTGAGGGAAGATCTCGCGACGTTTCAGTGTGAGACGCGCACCTTTGAGGCGGGTCGAAGATCCTTCTGCCGAATTCTATTGATGGGCCCAAGCGTAACCAGGCTCTTCTGATTGGCCGGTGTACTTCAGTTTCCGTCCAAGGTCCGCCTCCTACCTCCTTCTGCTTCGGGTGAGTACCCTTAAGGGCCCACTTGATTTTAGTTCTCAGTGGAGGAAATGAGCCTTGGAGCGATGGGAATCTGCCTCTGGCAAACCTCTGGTCGCTGCAGGGCCCGAGAGGGATGCGCCCTCCTCTAAGTTGGCAGTGAGGTGTGGGCAGGCCAGGTCCCATCCGCTCTCAGGACCTCAGTTTTCCTGTCTGCACCGGGAGAAGGGAGGTTCCCTGACTCTGAGCCTTGCTTGTCCCCGTCGGAGTGGGGATAGGGTGGGTCGTCCAAATCCCAGAGGCGGGAGAGGTCCAGGTTTAGGGCCCAGAGGCCCAGGCGCCGAACCTTCCCCTCCCTGGGCCTCAGTTTCACTTGTTGCTACCCATTAAACCCCGCCTGCTTTCCAAAAGAGATTTTATGTTTTCTAATTGCTTCAGTTATTGAATGGATAATATCGTGGCAGTTATAGCAGAAGTAAAGAAAGTCGAACAAGAGCCCCACCGCCTTAAACAAACAAACAAAAAAGGGACAGCGTAAACAATGCAGGCCGGGTGCGGTGGCTCACGCCTGTAATCCCAGCATTTTGGGAGGCCAAGGCGGGCGGATCACGAGGTCAGGAGATCGAGACCATCCTGGCTAACACGGTGAAACCCCGTCTCTACTAAACAAAATACAAAAGTTAGCCAGGCGTCGTGGCGGGCACGTATAGTCCCTGCTACTCGGGAGGCTGAGGCAGGAGAATGGCATGAACCCAGGAGGCGGAGCTTGCAGTGAGCGGAGGTCGCGCCACTGCACTCCAGCCTGGGCGACAGAGCGAGACTCCGTCTCAAAAACAAAACAAAACAAAAAAAAACTGAATGCAATCAAATTGTCAAATGTAAAACGCTATTATAGAGTTAAGGTTAAGATCATTGATGTTAGGAGTCAGGCAGACCTACATTTGAGTCACTTACCCAGACATCTCTGAGCTATAGTTCCCTTTCTACTCTTCTGAAAAATGGCAGTAATGCCTCAGCGGGTTGTTGTGAAGATTAAGTGAAATAATGAAGGTAAAGCACTTGACACAACGCCTGGCGAGTAGTAACTTCTTAAAAAATGGTAGCGGCCGGGCGCGGTGGCTCACGCCTGTAATCCTAGCCCTTTGGGAGGCCGAGGCGGGCGGATCACGAGGTCAGGAGATCGAGACCATCCTGGCTGACACGGTGAAACCCCGTCTCTACTAAAAACACAAAAAATTAGCCGGGCGTGGTGGCGGGCGCCTGTGGTCCCAGCTACTCGGGAGGCTGAGGCAGGAGAATGGCACGAACCCGGGAGGCGGAGTTTGCAGAGAGCAGAGATCGCACCACTGCACTCCAGCCTGGGCGACAGAGGGAGACTCCGTCTCAAAAAAAAAAAGGTAGCTATTATTCTTATAATAAGAACAGGCAAATACACTAGTCAGTGCGTTGGTGTACTTTTTGTAACTGAGTACCCAATTTTGCCCAAAATTAGTCAGTTAAGGGAAAAAAGGTAATTCTTACTAATAAGGAAACAAATCCATTCTTCAAAAGATAAATTATTTTTCTAGTTTCTATATTAAAAGGAATTTATGCTGTGGGACCTTATAAGGAATATATATACTGTGGTGAACAGTGTTGAGCAGTTTAACAGACAAGATGAAAAGTCATTTCTTTAAAACAGAGAAGCTTTTTGATGATCTTTTATGACACACGGGTAACAGTAACTCATATATTTAGTACCTCTGATAATGTCAGACCCTCTATATATGTCATTTATAAACTCCACAACAACCATGCAAAGTAGGTGTTAACTTCATTTTACAAATGAGGAAGTTAAGTATCTTGCTCTAAGTATCTTGCTCTATTAACTTCAATAGCTAGGCCTTTCTGACTGCATAGACAGCCATGCTTTTCTGTGTTTCTGACTAAAGGAGGATGAAAATGCTTGGAATACCAGACAGATGCAGGGGCAGGTTGGACAGCTTGACTTACCTAAATTGGAGGGAATGTGAGCTGCAGAGGTACCTATGGTAGGAGCAATATCTTGCTCTAATAGAAAATTTTCACCGTGGTCTTGGTAGAGAAGGGAGGAGAAAAAAATTGTTTTAATAAAAATAATTTTAAAAAAGTAAATTCCCACCTTGGGAAATGAAGAGATAGGATGAGATGATCACTGAACTTTAGACCCATCTGTTCATTTATCTTATGGATAGACTATAGCACTTCAAATTCAACTTGTCCCAAACAAATGCTTCACTTGCACCCCCTCCTCCACCCAGGCACTCAAACCAAAGCCTTTCTCTTTCCCTTGGCTTATGAAACATCTCTCTGTCCCTTAGACAATGAAATATCACTATTGTCCATTTTACTTTGAAATATCTCTCAGATTCATCCCTTCCTTTCCTTTCTCACAGCCTCTGCCTTGATCTAACTGGAATCATTTGTTAACTGGTCTGTTGCAATAGACTTGTAACTGGTTAATCTCTCTGCCTCCAATCTGTCCTAATTCGTTCCCCAGCTTGCTTGCAGCTAGAATATCTTTGTAAAATGTCAGTCTGACCAAATTATACCCTTGCCTAAAACCAGTCAGAGGCTTCATTGCCTACAGAATATAAACTAAGCTGTTTACCAATGAGATGTCATTTTGTGCTTGAGGGTGTTGCCCACACTCCTCCCTTTGCTGGCAGTGCCTTGCATCCGCCTCCCTTCTGCCTGGTAAACTAGTGACCCATCAGAATCCTTATGGGGTACCTTGTTAACCTAAAGATGCTTCTTTGCTGCCTTTCCATCTTACGTTGCACAAAACACACTGTAACTTGTCTGTTGGAATGTCTTCCACTTTCACTAGCCTGTAAATCTCTAGGAAGTTGGTGCTTGGTAGTATTCAGCTTCATATCTATCTGTCAATCCTTCACACTGTCTGTCGCATGGGATACGCACAACAGACAAATTCCCCGAGTTAGCTTTCTAGAATTGTACAGCAGATGGCACTAATAGGCTGCTTAACAAATCCCCTTCACTAAGAATGATTTTTGTCCCAACCTTGTCTGACTTTGGCCTTATCCTAGAAGCCAATATTTATGCCATTACAGGTAAAATCTCCTGTTTCCTCCCTCAGCCAATAGCAAAAATAACAAAATGACTCAGCAGCTTCGTCTCTGCAAGAATGGAGTGGCAGATGTCCAGGGAAAGGTGCATTTGAGGGAATATTTTCTTTGTCTCAATTTATTCATGGTAGTTGGGGCTTTTCTTTTGCATTTCTTTCTTTTTTCTTCTCTTCCATTTGTTATTGTTCTTACAAGAAAGAGCTTTACTCATGGGTGGGTGCCTCATTTCTGTCCACTCCAAAAGGGAAGAAAGAAACTGGCAAATTGGAAAAAAGATGATGATGATGTGGGAGGTGAGGGAGTAGTCACATAGAATTGCAGTCACATAGAATTGCTTGTGGGCAGGCAAACAGTTGGCTTTCCTCCTCATCTGGAGGAGGGTCTGGGCAAATTTTCTGGACACTAGTGCCCTAAGTTAAGTGGAACATGTGGTTTTAGGTTCCTACTTCCCAGAAAAGAGCAGAGGAGGCATAGAAACCCTTTTGAGATGGGTGCTATTAGGAGCCTGAGGCTACATTTTACCCCTCCTTCAGAGTCTTCTTCGGATACCAGGATTTAACATCTACGGCCCTCTCCCCCCAACTAAAACCTTTTTGGTGGAAATGATCCCAGCTAGACATCTTAACCTCCAAAGGAATATAGATTAAAGACTGGGAATTTGGGGCCAGGCACAGTAGATTGCACCTGTAATCCCAGCACTTTGGGAGGCCAAAGTGGGAAGGTCACTTAAGGCCAGGAGTTCAAGACTAGCTTGGTCAGCATAGCAAGACCCCATCTCTACAAAAAAAGTGTTTTTTAAATTTAGCCAGATGTGATGGCTCCTGCTTGTAGTCCTAGCTACCCAGGAGGCTAAGACAGGAAAATTCCTTGAGCCCAGAAGGGATGCAGTGAGCTCTTGAGGCTGCAGTGAGCTGTGATCATACCATTGCCCTCCAGTCTGGATGACACAGAGAGACATTGTCAAAAAAAAAAAAAAAAAAAAAAAAAAAAGGACTGGGAATTTTGAAACTGGAAATGATTTTATAAATCTTGTCTGTCCTCTCTCAGGGCCATTTGTGTCCTAAGCCCTACTCTTTCATGGTGAACAGAGCTATGAAAGGGACAAAAATTATAGACTTTGGAGTTAGACTTACTTGGATTGAAATCCCATCCTTTACAGGCCAGCTATGCCCTTATGCAAGTATTTTAACCTTTTGAAATAATATCAGTGTCCTTGTAAATTAGATATAATAATGCTTCTCTTGAAAGGTTGTTTTGAGCTTTAGAAACAATAGTTGTCAAAAGTCTTGCACAGTATAGCTGGCACAGTATATATAGATGCTTAATTGACAACGCGGCATGAAACACTGTTTCTGCTAAAGGGATATTAGAATATGGAGAACAGGTCAGAGGGAAAATTTGGAGAGCTCTTCCTGTACCTAAAGTTACATTTCTGAGGGCTTTTTACAGTTACTCTGATTAATTTGATGAAAATATTGAAACAAACAGCATAGCCATGTATTTGTAAATTCTTTTTTTGGTACCTAGGTCCCGAACCTCCTAGGCTCTGAGGGAATTGTATTTATGGAGAAAGCCGAGAATATTTTTCCTTAGCTTCTAGAACCTTCTAATGACATTGAAGGTTTTTTTGTTCAGGTTTTTTCTAACCACCTCAGGCACTCTGCCACTTTTTTGAAGTGTGAATTGCCTGCTGTCAGCCTGGAGTTCTCACCTCCGCAATCCTGGCTGCAGGCATATTTGCATATTGGATGCTGTGTTCCTTAACCCCCTGAGGTTTGAATCCACTTGGAGTCTGTGTGTGAAAGCTGGCTACTTTCAAACCCATGAACAGTTTCAGCTTTGTGGTCTCCAGAAAAACAGAAAACCCCCAACAATAGTTCCATTCACTTTTATGTAAATGGCACTCTTCAGGAAAACACTGGGCTATTTCCCAGGGCCCCAGAACATACTCAAACATTTGTTTGAGTGGGAGGTGGGGAGAGAGTTCTTTTGAGTCAATGAACATCTGTTCAGAACTGCTGTGCTGGGTCCCAAGAAAACAGAGCTTATAATCTGTCTCTTCCCTGCCAGAGGTACCAGCAGAGATTTACTATACTAGGTATATGTGCTTGTGGTGGCATTGTACTGTGTCAGTTTAGCTAAGCTGGATTCCCAGTATCCTTCCTATCTGCTTCCAGGTGAGGGTTGTCCACAAGAAAATTTCGTGAGAGATTTGGAAAGCTGAATTGAAGTAGCAGCCAGTACACTGTGAAGGACAGAGCAGGGTCTGTACGCTGTGAAGGACAGAGCAGGGTACCAGGCATAGTGGCAGTACCTGTACTTTCTCTCTGATCTGGCTCACCTTGTTGGTGAAGGTCATCACACAGCCCCCAGCACCCCTAGCTCCTACTGAATTTCCTCCTTCAGCTCCTCTGAGTCCTGGGCCATGTGTGCAGTCAGCTCTGTAGCAGAGGGCTCCGGCTTCTCCAGATCACCTGAGTCACTGAGCTTGGGACCAGTGAAAGGAAGTTGTGGGTTTCAGTTTGTCCTCATGAGTTCCAGTTGTCCTTGTAGATCCCAGTTTGTTCTCAGAGGTTCCAGTTTGTCTTTGTTCTCTTCCACCTCACATCCAGTTTTCTTCCCAACTGCTGGCCTCACAGACTTCGGGCCCAACACCAGGTGCAGAGGCAGCAGAGTTGCATGGATTTATCCACCAACTTCCAAAGATACACAGTGTCTACTCCTTATAATAAATCTTTAGTTTTCTGTCACTCATAGCGTTTGCTTCCCTGATTGAACTTTAAATTTGTTCAAGCCGTGTTAAGGATGCAGAGCATGGAAGTGATTAGAAGCCAGAAAGCTTCACAGAGGAGGTGACATCTGAGCTGCTTCTGACGAGTAGGAGGTTGTGTGTATAGAGTGGGTAGGAGGAATTCTAGAGAATAGCTGGCTCAAGCCAAGCAATTGAAAGAGCAGTGAGGAGTTCTGTATTTCTAGAAGAACTGTTCTTTCCATGGGTCCAGAATATAGATGGAGAATGAGCATCTGATCCTAGCTCTTCTGGCGCCATTGAGATTAACTGTTAGCTGATGTGGTTCTTAGATGTGGTCATCCCTAATACACTGGCATCCACTGAAATACATTCTTGCTAGGGTACACCCTTGTCACTACCCTAAGATTCCTCCCCCACCCCACCGCTGCTTTCCTCTCCCCAGTGGTTCCATGTGGCTAACCCAGGCTTGTCTTTCTTGGCTCCCCATGCAGGCATCTTTGCTTGTCCATGTTGTGTTGATGGTGGCAGTGGTATGGAGTTCCTGTCTTAGGCAGGGCACTGTGCCCTCTAGTCTTGGATCCCTAAGCTTATTTAGGGGTTCTAACATTGATTCCATGGGACCTTCTAGTCTTGGATCCCTAAGCTTATTTAGGGGTTCTAACATTCATTCCATGGGACCCTCTAGTCTTGGATCCCTAAGCTTATTTAGGGGTTCTAACATTCCATGGGACCTGAGGCAGGAGCAAGGTACCCCACATCTATAACTTTCTAATGCTTTTTGAGCATCTTTATAGGGAGGGCATGGGATCAGCTACCTGTTTCTGCCTCAACCACGGACCAATAATATGAGATCTTTGTTCACCAGTTCTACAGTGATGGGGTGCTTCCTTTTGGCTTCTGGAATGGGGTAAGTTCTTGACATAAATAGGGAGTCCAGGAAAATAGAACAATGAAATAGAATAGAAAAATGAAAGCCTACCACTTTATATATGAATTTGTAAACTCAAACAGGGATTTCATTATACATGCTATTCAGAACTGTCTCCTTTTCATGTGTCTAAAAATTTTTCTTACAAGCAGTACATTAGGCTTGACCTAATTTTTTTTTCTTTTTCTTTTGTTTTTGAGACAAGGTCTCACTGTATTGCCCAGGCTGGAGTGCATTGGTGCAAACATGGCTCACTGTAGCCTCAACCTTCCAGGCTCAAGCAATCTTCCCACGTTGGCCTCCCAAGTAGCTGGAAGTACAGGTGCATGCCACCATACCTGGCTAATTTTTTTTCTATTTTTTGAGAGACAAGGTCTCACTGTGTTGTCCGGACTGGTCTCAAACTCCTGGGCTCAGGCAATCCTCCTGCCTCAGCCTCCCAGAATGCTGGGATTAAAGGCTCGAGCCACTGAACCCAGCCTCGACCTCATTTTTTTTAATGACTTCATGCTATTTCATCATATAGATATACTGTACTTTTTGCCTATTCCCATATTGATGGATATTTGTTTCTGGCTCTTTTCCTTTTTGATATTGCAAACAAAGTTGTAGTGAACATTGTTATATGTACATCTTTTTTTTTTTTTTTTTTTTGAGACAGAGTTTCGCTCTTGTTGCCCAGGCTGGAATTCAGTGGCCCCGTCTCGGCTCACCACAACCTCCACCTCCCGGGTTCAAGTGATTCTTCTGCCTCAGCCTCCCAAGTAGCTGGGATTACAGGCGTGTGCCATCACGCCTGGATAATTTTTGTATTTTTAGTAGAGACGGGGTTTCTCCATGTTAGTCAGGCTGGTCTTGAACTCCTGACCTCAGGTGATCTACCCGCCTTGGCCTCCCAAAGTGCTGGGATTACAGGCATGAGCCACTGTGCCCGGCCCGTTGTGTGTACATCTTAAACCTATATTTCTTATGTGAGAGTGGCTAGAAATGGAATTGCTGGCTCTTAGGGAATGTGCATTTTATGTTTTGATAATTATTATCAAATGGCCCTCCTAAGGGGATATGCTAATTTACTTTTCTACCAACAGTATATGAGAGCACAGACCATTTCAGAAATCCCCTTTGAGATTATTTCCAGTCCTTAAAAACTTTTGTTACAGGTTTAGAAAAGCTTGGAAAGGTCTTGGTGTTGGGTGTTTGGTTTTTGGTGAGAAACCGCTATTCTCTAGAGTAACATTACCATCTGTTGGCAGTCTTGAGAATTGCCCTGGAGTAGGTTTCTGTTTGGGCCTGATTTTTATGCCTTTGATAGCTGCAAATTCATCTTGATTGAGCACCAGCAAAGGGACTGTGGAGGATAGCAGCTCCTGCTCCAGCTGCCCTCTCTGCATCAGCTGTGCAACCCCCGGGCACCAGCAATGTCAGGCAATGGTGGCATGTGCCTGTATTGCCAGCTGCTCAGGAGGCTAAGGGGGGAGGACCACTTCTTTTTTTGAGACAGAGTCTCACTCTGTCGCCAAGCTGGAGTGCAGTGGCCCGATCTCGGCTCACCACAACCGTAACCTCCGCCTCCCGGGTTCAAGCAATTCTCCTGCCTCAGCCTCCCGAGTAGCTGGGATTACAGGTGTGTGCCACCACACCCGGCTAATTTTTGTATTTTTAGTAGAGACAGGGTTTCACCATGTTGGCCAGGATGGTCTCAATCTCTTGACCTCGTGATCCACCCAGGGAGAGGACCACTTCTGTTTGGGAGTTTGAGGCCAGTCTAGGCAACATAGTAAGTCCCTGTTTCTTAAAAAAAAAAAAAAAAAAAAAAAAAAGGATAAAATAAAAGACTAAAAAAAATCAGACTGGGCATGGTGGCTCATGTCTATAATCCCAACACATTGGGAGGCTGAGGTAGGTGGATCACTTCAGCCCAGAAGTTCAGGATCAGCCTGGGCAATATAGTGAGACCCTGTCTCTAAAAAAAAAAAAAAAAAAAAAAAAAAAAAATTGGCCAGGCATGGTGGTGGCATGCCTGTAGTCCCAGCTACTTGAGAGGTTGAGGTGGGAGGTTTGCTTGAGCCTGGGAGGTCAAGGCTGCAGTGAGCCATGATCACACCATTGCACTCCAGCCTGGTCAACAGTGCTAGACCCTGTCTCAAAAAAAAAAAAAAACTCAACGAAATATTTTTTTCTATATGAAGTTACTCTCTGTAGATGACCTCTCTGCATTGTCAGAAACCACACTGCTGGGGGGTTCTGTGCTTCAGGGGCTCAGGATATGGGCTGGGGGAAATGGGGTTACAGGTTTGACGATAAAACTTGTACTGCCTCTCTCCCATTCCCAACATCTCTCTTGTTTCAGTGCGTTTGCTTCTGAGGATCTCCAGTGTCACAACAAACACATGCCAGCCCTGTTTTACAGGGAGCCCTGGAGGAGTTGGGATAGAGGCCACATTGACTGAGGGTAGTTGCCAGGGTCCTGCAGTTATACACAAAGGTCAGTCTCTGATTCCTGGATGCCTTCCATTGGTCCTGGGCATGCTGCCTTTTTCTGTGGGCTATGAGATCACAGTTAGCTAGTCTGCATTACTGTCCATCACCAGATTGCTACCCCCCAGTATGGAGCTTCCTATTTTGTGTAACTTCCCAATATTCTGTATCTTCTTTGTTAAGTCCTTAGGATAAGACCATGGCCTTGAGAGCATGTGGCTTGATCATCTTCCGAAGATGCCTCATTCCCAAAGTGGACAACAATGCAATTGAGTTTTTACTGCTGCAGGCATCAGATGGCATTCATCACTGGACTCCTCCCAAAGGTAGAGGCCAGAGGGGCCAGCTCTTGGGAAACTGCCAACCACTGCTCAGAAATCTACCCTGCCAGGCCCTCCCCAAGGCTTAATTCCCAGTGACTGTGTAGCAAAAAGGGGTAGGGAAGGTAGGAGCTCTTGACCCTTTCTACATACAAGGTCTCCAGACCAGGCCAGAGTAGAGCTGAGAATTCTGTGACTGAATTCCAGGGTAGAAACAGCACCTGGTGTTTTTATGAGTATCATTCGCCAGCTCTCCAACCTCTGTGGTGAATGGCTGGGTAAGAGAAAAAACAGTGGGCAGGGAATTGGGGACCTTGAGGTTGACTGAGCTATGTGCCCACCTCTCAGCTTTGAGTTTTTCATCTGTCAAACAAGGGCTTGACTAGAAAATCCTGTTTTCAGCCAGGCACAGTGGCACACGCCTATAATCCCAGCACTTTTGGAGGTCGAGGTGGGCAGATTGCTTGAGCCCAGGAGCTCGAGACCAGCCTGGGCAAAATGGCAAAACCATGTCTCTACAAAAAATACAAAAATTAGCCAGGTGTGGTGGTGCACACCTGTAGTCCCAGCTACTCAGGAGGCTGAGGTTAGAGAATAACTTGAGCTCGAGAGATCAAAGCTGCAGTGAGCCGAGATTGTGCCACAGCACTCCAGCCTGGACAACAGAGCCTGTCTCAAAAAAAAGAAAATCCTAAGTTTTCTTCCAGCCTGTCTCTGATTTCATTTGATCAATTTCCTTTGACTCCTAGTTCAGTGTCCCTATCATTAGGTTTTTCTTTTCTTTTTTTTTTTGAGACAAAGTCTCGCTTTGTCGCCCAGGCTGGAGAGCAGTGGGGCAATCTCAGCTCACTGCAACCTCCATCTCCCAGGTTCAAGCAATTCTCCTGCTTCAGCCTCCTGAGTAGCTGGGATTACAGGCGCCCACCACCACGCCTGGCTAATTTTTTGTATTTTTAGTAGAGACGGGGTTTCACCATGTTGGCCAGGCTGGTGTCAAACTCCTGACCTCAGGTGATCTGCCCGTCTGAGCCTCCCAAAGTGCTGGGATTACAGGCGTGAGCCACCGCACCCAGCCAGGTTTTTCTTTTGAACTAAACACAGAGAGTATGAGTTCTACAGTGTTTCTGAACATAGTTGTATTTTGAGTTGGAGCATAGAGAAGTTGGGCTCCCTGATCATAGATTCATCTGCAGATTGTGGCAGGAGTGGAGGAGTGAGGAGATGGGCAGGGCCTTCTTAGACCAGGAGGGGATGGGCAGGGCCTTCTTAGACTGTAAAGATTATGGAGACCTTGAGATTGCAGCTTGACCAGCTAGCTACCTGTGCCTTGAGTCTATCACTCAGCACTGAGGGTGGAGTCGGGCAAGTCTCCAGTGGGAAGAACAGTGAAGACTACTGGCCTGAGGCCTTAGGCCAGGCCAAGATCTGTTTGTAAGCTGGCCAGTTTTCATCCACCAGCACTCCTGACCTCACCTCTAAGAGTAAGAAAGCTGCAGTCATTTGGTCCTGAAAGAGAAGCCAGGCTGTGTGGGGAGAAATGGGAAAAAGGAGCCCTTCTTGGCTGAGGCCATTGGGATGGTTTGAGTTGGGAGGGACAGACTGTGGCTCAGGTGCCTGCTGGAATGAGGAATAGCCCTCAGACAGAAGGAAGCAGGGACTTTATTTTTTAAATTATTTTGTTATTATTATTACTATTTTATAGAGACAGGGTCTTACTATATTGCCCAGGCTGGTCTTGAACTCCTGGGCTCAAGTGATCTGCCCACTTGGTCTCCCAAAGTGCTGGGATTATAGGCATGAGCCACCACGCCTGGCCAGAAGCGGGGACTTTAAAAGGGAGTGGGGTTAGAAGGGATGGACAAAGATCCAGGATTGAAGGAAAACAAGGAAATGGGAACAGGAAATAAATTTTGCATGTTTGAGTTGTACTGGGGAGAAACAAGGTGAAAAAAGAGGCAGAAGCTTCACAAATACTATGAATAGGAATATTCACACTTGTCTCCGGATCACATGAGTCACACTGCCTTGTTCCTCTCACTACCTGATGTCAGTGGACCTCTCCTAATCCTTTCCTGCTTCGGCAGAAGCTACCCTGTTAATTAACACTGATGGACAGAATACTGAATAGATGCCCCTGGGAGGGGTGTGCTCAGGGACTTCCATACACCTCTGAGGGGAGGTAGGACGTCCTGAGTCAGTATCACCCATCACTACTAGCATCCCTCCCACCTTGCTCCCCTGATGCATTACCTGTCTGTCTTTGTGTACACCACTATAGGAGGTGCTTGTGCAGAGAAAATTCCCCAGAAGCTATAAGCTAGAATGGTTTTTAAGTGCTAAGTTTCTGGGGGTTTTGTTTGTTTGTTTGAGACGGAGTCTCGCTCTGTTGCCCAAACTGGAGTACAATGGCACAATCTTGGCTCGCTGCAACCTCCGCCTCCTGGGCTCAAGTGATTCTCCTGCCTCAGCCTCCCGAGTAGCTGGGATTACAGATGTCCACTGCCACGCCCAGCTCATTTTTGTATTTTTAGTAGAGACAGGGTTTCACCATGTTGGCCAGGCTGGTCTCAAACTCCTGACCTCAGATGATCCACCCGCCTCGGCCTCCCAGAGTGTTGGGATTACAGGCATGAGCCACCGCCCCTG
Source organism: Homo sapiens (assembly GCF_000001405.40). Classification (NCBI taxonomy): domain Eukaryota; kingdom Metazoa; phylum Chordata; class Mammalia; order Primates; family Hominidae; genus Homo; species Homo sapiens. Next base: position 34,341,807 of record NC_000009.12, read on the forward strand.
GACCCTGGGGAGTTTTTTGTGCAGCAGCTGGCTCTGGGCATTGTAGACCCCTGGGAAGGATGAGGGCCCCCATCTCCAAACCAAGGAGAGAACAACTGAGTTCCTGCTCGCCATGAGCCTGTGAGCAGGAGGCCTCCCTAGAAACTTACTGGAGCCAAGGTGTAGACAGAGTCTGCCAGACCGTTCCCAGTCTTTGCCCCCTCTGGGGAAGCTGAAGATTTGTGGGAGGGGACTAGAGGTAAAGCTGAGAGCTGCTCCAGTCTGCAGAGCTTCAAGTTCTCCTACAGCAGTTTCTTGGCAGCTGTCTTCTTGGGTTTGGGTGTTGCTAACACATTTTCTTAGAAGTGGTTCTCAGCTGGCCCTTAGTCTAAGTTCCCATCAAGAGTTTCCCTATGAAACTGAAATCTGGCTTTGCCCAGTAAGAAAGAGGAAAACAATTTGGAAAAAGCCTTGATAGCTTCATGGAAACAGCTGCTCATTCAGCCGTGCAGGGTTTTGAGCCTGTTGGCCCTGGAATGTCAGGGTCCACCTGCAGACAATGTTAAGTCCTCACTGGATTGTAGGCAAAGTACTTCCTCGTCAGCTAACTTCCACTTGTTAAGAAAGGACTTCCCCCTCCTTGGAAAAATCACTTCAAGGTCTCCAATAGAAAAGTGATTCCTTAGAGCATGGGATGAAGAAAGTTCCGAAGAATAAGAAAGCAGACGTCTGAAGAAGGTCATCTCACACCATAAAAGAGCAGTATTCTAAACCTGACTTGCTATACACATGGTCTGTTTCACTCTCTGCAGAGAAGAGGGAATGGAAAGGTGGGATTGCTCAAACCCCGAGAACTAGACACTACCTGCCCTGCACCCCCTTCCCAGGCATGTTAGGATATTGCCAATCTCCAGGCTTCCTTTAGCAACACCTAGAAAAGTCACTGAATGGCTGGGTGTGGTGGCTCATACCTGTAATCCCAACACTTTGGGAGGCTGAGGCAGGAGGATGACTTGAGGCCAGGAGTTTGAGACCAGCCTGGGAAATATAGTGAGACCCCATCTTTACCAAATAAATAAATAAATAAATAAATAGCTGGGCATGGTGGCACATGCCTGTTGTTCTGAATACTCAGGAGGCTAAGGTGGGAGGATCACTTGAGCCCAGGAATTCAAGGCTGCGGTGAGCTGATTGCACTACTGCACTCTGGCCTGGGCAACAGAGTGAGTCCCTGTCTCAAAGCAAAACAGAAAAAAAAAAAAATCTTGTCTGGAAAATCCAGCTTTGGGAACTTTGGAAGATTTCCTCCTCCTTTTCTTCCTCTTTTCTCCTAACTAGGCCATGTGGAACCAGGAGAGGATGACTTGGAAACAGCCCTGAGGGAGACCCAAGAGGAAGCAGGCATAGAAGCAGGCCAGCTGACCATTATTGAGGGGTTCAAAAGGGAACTCAATTATGTGGCCAGGAACAAGCCTAAAACAGTCATTTACTGGCTGGCGGAGGTGAAGGACTATGACGTGGAGATCCGCCTCTCCCATGAGCACCAAGCCTACCGCTGGCTGGGGCTGGAGGAGGCCTGCCAGTTGGCTCAGTTCAAGGAGATGAAGGCAGCGCTCCAAGAAGGACACCAGTTTCTTTGCTCCATAGAGGCCTGAGCTGACTGGAGCAGAGTCATTTGCTTCAGCAGGATCCTTGTGGGCCTTCTAAGATGAAGCCACCCTCAGGTCCAGGGAAGGTTGTGCTGGTATTTGGCTCATGACAGCCAAGAGCAGATTTGTGAAATCGGCTCAACTCCCAGGTGAGAGCAAGCAAAAATCTTGGCTGGGTGGAAAGGAAGGCAAAAGAGTAAAAATTAAAAAGGCCAGGCCCAGTAAGTGTACCTTGTACTTTATAAATAAACCTCAAGCAGCTCAAGGTTGTCCTTCTAACCTGTTGTGTTTATTTCTTGGACTCTTGGCATTGGTGGAGAGAAGAAAGCTGAAGTGAATCAGAGTTCTGACCTTAACCAGAGGGAACTCTGTGTCCATACAGTATCCCCAGAGAACTTAAGAGCTAGGGATCCAAATGGAAGAGACCCAGCACTGGCAGGATGGCTCTCTCGCCTCTGGAATGCCAAGCACACCCACCCCACCCCCACCAGGGGCCCTGAGACTTTGTGACCCATAGTCAGGATTTCCAAGTGAGTGGGACTGGAGTGCAGGAATTGGGTCTGTCCTACTCACTAATATATCTTTCACCAGCAGCAGGCACATATGTTGTAAGTACTCAGTAAATATTACCTTAAATAGGGCCAGGCACGGTGGCTCACACCTGTAATCCCAGCACTTGAGGCCTAGGTGAGCAGATCACTTGAGGTCAAGAGTTTGAGACCAGCATGGGCAACATGGTGAAACCCTGTCTCTACTAAAAATACAAAAATTACCTGGGGGTGGTGGCACACACCTGTAATTCCAGCTACTCGAGAGGCTGAGGCAAGAGAATCACTTGAACCTGGAAAATGAAGGTTGCCGTGAGCTGGGATCGTGCCACTGCACTCCAGCCTGGGCGACAAAGCGAGACTGTCTCAAAAAATGAAAGTATTACCTTAAATAATTAGAGACTGGCTAGGCGTGGTGGCTCATGCCTATAATCTCAGCAGTTTGAGAGGCTGAGGTGGGTGGATAACTGAGGTCAGGAGTTTAAGACCATTATGGCCAACATGGTGAAACCCCATCTCTACTAAAAACACAAACATTAGCTGGGCATGGTGGTGCACACCTGTAATCCCAGCTTCTTGGGAGGCTGAGGCAGCAGAATTGCTTGAACCTGGGAGGTGGAGGTTGTGGTGAGCTGAGATGGTGCCATTGCACTCCAGCCTAGGCAAGAGTGAGACTGTCTCAAAAATAAATAAATAGGCTGGGCGCAGTGGCTCACGCCTGTAATCCCAGCACTTTGGGAGGCCAAGGCAGGTGGATCACCTGAAGTCAGGACCTCAAGACCAGCCTGGCCAACATGGTGAAACCCCGTCTCTATTAAAAATGCAAAAATTAGCAAAAATGCAAAAATGGTGGCTCATGCCTGTAGTCCCAACTACTCAGGAGGCTGAGGCAGAAGAATCACTTGAACCCGGGAGGCAGAGGTTTCAGTGAGCTGAGATCACACCACTGCACTCCAGCCTGGGCAACAGAGCAAGACTCCACTTCAAATAAATAAATAAATAGAGACAGAAAGAATTTTAGACTCCCCAAGTCACAACAGAGAGAGGAGGGACAGGCAACCCTGGACCCCCAGGTCAGTGACACGTGTACTCTGTCCTCTCAGACCAGGCCTGCCTCCCAGAGTGATAAGCCTTGTTAACATGACTAAGGTCACTGGGAATGAGGCAAGCCCAGACCCAAAGGAATCTGCTGGGCCACCCAGCAGTCACATCATTACACCTGTGCATTCCTCACCTGCAGCTGCCTTCCCCACCCTCAGCAAAACCTCATCATTAATGTTTCTCTCTTCCTATCTACTTTTTTTTTTTTTTTTTTTTGAGACAGAGTTTCGCTCTTGTTGCCCAGGCTGGAGTGCAATGGCACCATCTCGGCTCACCGCAACCTCTGCCTCCCAGGTTCAAGTGATTCTCCTGCCTCAACCTCCCGAGTAGCTGGGATTATAGGCATGTGCCCCCAACATGCCCAGCTAGTTTTGTATTTTTACTAGGAACAGGATTTCTCCATGTTGGTCAGGCTAGTCTCAAACTCCCGACCTCAGGTGATCTGCCTGCCTCGGCCTCCCAAAGTGCTGGGATTACAGGCATGAGCCACCACGCCCAGCCTTCCTATCTACTCTTTTTGTCCACAACTCCACTGTAAGACTCAGAGGTGCAAGAGCTGGGTCTCAGCCCTGTTTTCCTTTGCTACTAGGGCTCAAGGAATGCAGGAGCAGGTGTTAGATCCCACAGCCCTTCCAGGAGCTGTTAGCAGCTGGATTCATGTGGATTTTATTAGAAAGTTGTTGCCCAATGAAGTGCAGAAGATTGGAAGTGAAGGGGCATTGGCAGAGGTCAGCCTGGATTACCAGGGTCAAGAACAGCCACCCCCAAAGGAAGAAAAGACAACTCGCCCAGGTCTTAAGCAGACTTCCAGATGTTTTTAGTCCCCAGTTCTCCATGCAGACAGGGCAAAAGTACTAGTGAACAGGATCTTGGAGCACAGCCAGGGGCCTGAATGGTTTTGTTCCTCACCCTCTGAGCAGCATTCTCTGAAGGAGGCCTGCTGCATGAAGTTTTTGGAGCTTAATGTTCTTTTTCCAGGCCAGCAGGGACCATATCACACTGATTTAATAAATGCCTGCTGGGCAGTAGTGCCAAACCACAGACGAGCTGCCTCCTAACAAGGGCTGGCCAGCTCCGCACTCTCAGAATGGGAGGCTGTGGAATCTCAAGTCTAAGACCTCATACATCAAAGTTGGAAGGGACCTGGAAAATGACCTGATTTGGCTGCTCATTTTTATTGCTGGGGAAATTGAGACTTAACAAGATAGATGGCCCTGGCAGTATCTATAGATGGGGTGCTTTGAAGAGGGGGTGCCAGAGGGAAGACTGCTTTAGAATATATATATATATATATATATATATATATATATATATATATATATATATATATATATATGTATGTATGTATATATAGCTTTGGAGTCATTCCTCTGGGCCTTACAGAGTGTTCCATTAAAATGTAGGTACTTTGGTGAAGAGGTCCCTCATAAGTTGTATTTTTTTTTTTTTTTTTTTTTTTTTTTTGAGAAGGAGTCTCACTCTGTCGCCCAGGCTGGAATGCAGTGGCACGATCTCGGCTCACTGCAATCTCCACCTCCCAGGTTCACGCCATTCTCCTGCCTCAGCCTCCTGAGTAGCTGGGACTACAGGCACCCGCCACCATGCCCAGCTAATTTTTTTTTTTTTTTGTATTTTTAGTAGAGATGGGGTTTCACCGTGTTAGCCAGGATGGTCTCAATCTCCTGACCTCGTGATCCACCCACCTCGGCCTCCCAAAGTGCTGGGATTGCAGGTGTGAGCCACCGCGCCCGGCTGTAAGTTGTATTCTTTGCAGGAATAACTGACAGTAGGGTGGGACTAAAGCATGTTATGGGAGGTGGATGAGGGTGGGAGAGAGAGGAGCTGAGATTAGGATGTGGCAGGTGAGTAGGCTTTGACAACATCACCACTTTGCTTTTGGCCAGTGGGGCTTGGGCAACCTGAACTCAGACCCCAGAGCGTTACAAAATCCAGCTCCCGTGCCCCACCACACCCCTCTCAACTGGCAGAGCAGCACTCTGCCGATGCTGCACTTTGGGTTAGGCCAGGCCTCAGGGAGACCTCAGCAGAGTTGTACCAGTTCAGGAGATGCTTCCATGTTGAAGTTTTCCTCCAGAGAATGGGGCTGGTCAGAACTAATCTAAAATTGGAGGAGAGCCCTGCCCCAGCCCCTCTGAGGGAGAGCTCTCCCCTGGGACCTCAGCCAGTTTACCAGCTCTTTGGCTGTCAGAGTCCCAGAGTTCTAGAGTCCAGTCTTTCCCAAGTTCTTTCGTTGTTGGTTTTTTTTTTTTTTTTTTCCCGAGAGATGGAGTTTCACTCTGTTGCCCAAGCTGGAGTGCAATGGCGCGGTCTCAGCTCACTGCAATCTCCACCTCCCGGGTTCAATCAATTCTCCTGCCTCAGCCCCCACCGAGTAGCTGGGATTACAGGCACTCACCACCGTGCCCAGCTAATTTGTGTATTTTTTAGTAGAGGCGGGGTTTCACCATGTTGGCCAGGCTGGTTTTGAACCCCTGACCTCAGGTGACCCGCCCGTCTTGGCCTCCCAAAGTGCTGGCCCAGGTTCTTTTTTTTGGTGGGAGGACAGAGTCTCTCTCTGTTCCCCAGGCTGGAGTGCAGTAGTGCAATCTCAGCTCACTGCAAGCTCCGCCTCCCATGGCCCAGGTTCTTTATGTAGAGTTTCAGTGGATTAAGTGAGCAGGGCAAGCAAAGAGATTGCTGATGTGGTCGTCTTTACACTCCACAGGAGTTTCCCTGGGGAATAAGCTTAGGGAATGGGGAGCTAGAAGAGCATCTTGCTCCATCATGGGGTTGGCTCCAGAGTGTAGCCTGTTGCTTCTTTTTACAGGGATCAGAAGAAAGATGACCAAGGTTGGGCATGTGGCATTGGCTCACACCTGTAATCCCAGCACTTTGGGAGGCAGAGGCAGGAGGATCACTTGAGCCCAGGAGTTAGAGACCAGCCTGGGCAATGTAGTGAGACTCCATCTCTAACAACAACAACAAAAAATTAGCCAGGCATGGTGGTGTGTACCTGTAGACCCAGCTACTCAGGAGACTGAGGAGGGGAGAATTGCTTAAGCCCAGGAGGGTGAGGCTGCAGTGAACCAAGATTGTGCCACTGCACTCCAGCCTGGGTGCTAGAGTGAGACCCTTATCTCAAAATTAATTAATTTTTTTTTTTTTTTTGAGACGGAGTCTTGCTCTGTCACCTAGGCTGGAGCGGAGTGGCGCAACCTCAACTCACTGCAGCCTCTGCCTCCCGGGTTCAAGTGATTCTTCTGCCTCAGCCTCCTGAGTAGCTGGGTCTACAGGTACACACCACCACACCCAGCTAATTTTTTTTTGTATTTTTAGTAGAGACAGGGTTTCACCATGTTAACCAGGATGGCCTCGATCACCTGACCTCGTGATGTGATCTGCCCGCCTCGGCCTCCCAAAATGCTGGGATTATAGGCGTGAGCCACCGTGCCCAACCAATTAATGTTTAAAAAAAAGGAAGAAGAAGAAAAATGACCAGTTCTTCCCAAGTTCTCCATAGAGGGTGACTTAGGGAAGGAGCCTAGGCAGAACCACAGTTTGGAGAGGAGAAGCCTCTGGCTTGAGATACCTTTGTTTAAACATTTATGTCATCACTTTTGTGGCTCCTAAAGTCCTGCCTCCTTCAAATAGCTTTCCCAGGCTACTCAGAAATTTCTGGTTTCCGTTTCCCTAATGGCTACTTCCTCTCTCTCAAAACTCATCTGGCACCTTAGGAAGTTGCTTCATTAAAAAAAAAAAAATCTGTATCCAGTATGACCATTGCTCCTTTAGCTCAGGGGTCCCCTCCCACCCACCCTCTCAAGATGACCAGTGTTGGCTGGGCACAGTGGCTTACGCCTGTAATCCCAGCACTTTGGGAGACCGAGTTGGGTGGATCACCAGAGGTCGGGAGTTCGAGACCAGCCTGGCCAACATGGTGAAACCCCGTCTCTACTAAAAAATACAAAATATTAGCTGGGAGTGGTGGTGGGCACCTCTAATCCCAGCTACTCAGGCAGCTAAGGCAGGAGAATCGCTTGAACCCAGGAGATGGAGGTTGCAGTGAGCCGAGATTGTGCCACTACACTCCAGCCTGGGCAACAGAGCGAGACTTTGCCTCAAAAAACAACAACAACAACAACAACAACAACAAAAAACAAAAAAAAGAATTACCAGTGTCGTTGGCCCTCCAACCCTAGGCCTTTTCCTCCCTGCCTATCTCATGTGCACTGTGTCTCAGACACTCTCAAAGATCATCATTCTCAGACACACATGCTGAGGCAAAAGGCACAGGGCTGAGAGAAGCCATGTGGAGTGATGGTCTGGTGTTTATCTCTGGCTTTGTCACTACCTGGATACGTGATCTTGGGCAAGCTCTGAACCTCTCTGGACATTATTTTCCTCATTACAACAAGGGAGTTGGACAAGATGATCTCAATGGTTTCTTCCAGATCTGACAACCTGTAGGATTGGGTTTGAATTTTGACTCCTCAGATTACTGTGTAAAGATCAAAGCTCCGAAAGACGCTTCCTCTGTTTGATTATTCTGTTTTTCTAAGACACTCTAGTTTTCTAATTTGAAGTTCAAAGTGCTAAGTGTAAAGTTATTCAGTAAGTATTGCTTAGACTAGTATATAATTTAAAATACCTGAATACCCATTACCAGGGATTAATAAACTTTGACACATGCATGATATGAAATATTATGCAGCCATAAAAAAAAATAGGATGGTCCTTACATAGAACCTTTGTACCTATTAAAATTTAAATTTAGGCCAGGCGCGGTGGCTCATGCCTATAATCCCAGCACTTTGGGAGGCCAAGGCAGGTGGATCACGAGGTCAGGAGTTCAAGACCAGCCTGGCCAAAATGGTGAAACCCTCTCTCTACTAAAAATACAAAAATTAGCTGAGCATGGTGGCACATGCCTGTAGTCCTAGCTATTTGGGAGGCTGAGGCAGAGAATTGCTTGTACCCAGGAGGTGAAGGTTGCAGTGAGCCAAGATCATGTCATTGCACTCCAGCCTGGGCAACAGAGCTAGACTCCATTTCAAAAAAATAAATAAATAAGAACAAAAGCAAAATGCCATATGCGGGGCTATCTGGCCACCAGTGGAATCAGGGGTCTGACGCAGTGTGGTGGCCAGCTGGGACAGGATAGGGGATGGAGCAGTCAGCCATGTTGCTCTTTGCAGCACTTTGGCTTTCTTTCTCTTTTTCTTTCTTTCATTTCCCACACTACACCGATGAGTTTTGCTTTCTTGAGTGGATGTTGAGGGTGACGATGACGACTCCCAGGACAAATGCCAGGCCAAAGGGCTGAAGCCAACATGGCTGTCTGAAATTGGTTCGGTAAAGGAAGAGAATAATGTTGTGCTTCCTTCTTGACCTAATCGCCACTTCTAGTGGAGCTATAAGTACACCTGTTGGAAGGTGAGAATAGCATAAACTCTCTCTTCCAAACTATCTCCTTTACATTTCTTCCATCACTCCTACCCAAGATCATGCATAGTGTTTATTCCCAAGGACATATGGGCACTTATCTTTCTGTAGTCAGTTGAATGTCTTTTCCAATGGTCTAGCTTCTCTGGCAGGAGTCAGAGAATTACAATGTGAAGAACAATTGTGCAACTCTGTTTAAAAGTTAGGTATGAGAATTGGGGTCATTTTAATATGGACTGGATATTAGATCATATTAGGGAATTATTAATTTTCTTAGATATGAAAAACAGTTGTGTAGGAAAATGGCCTTAGGAAATGCATGCTGAAGAATTTAGGATGTAGTGTCACAATGTCAGTAAGTAATGCAACTTTGAAATGGTTCAGGCCAGGTGTCTCATGCCTGTAATCCCCCACTTGAGGAGGCTGAGGTAGGAGGATCACTTGAGCCCGGGAGCTTTAGACCAGCCTGAGCAACATAGTGAGACCCTGTCTCTCCAAAAAAAAAAAAAAAAAAAAAGTTAAAAAAAAAATTAGGCAGGCATAGTGGCACATGCCTGCAGTCCCAGCTTCTCAGAAAGCTGAGGTGGGAGGATTGCTTGAGGTTGAGATTGCAGTAAGCCATGACTATGCCACTGAACTCTACCCTGGGAGCGAGACCCTACCTTAAAAAAAAAAAAAAGTGGTTCAGAAAAAAAATTCACACATACATAAATAAGGCAAATATAGCAAAACTTTAACAACTGTTGACTCAAGATGGTGATATATGGGTGCTCATTATTTTAGACTTTTAATTTTTCTGTATATATGAAGTTTTTCATGAGAAAATTTGGGAAGCAATGAGTGTGAGTGTGGTCTCAACTAGGCAATAAAACTATGCATTTAAAAAAAGGCAGGAAGAGGCCAGGGACAGTGGCTCACACCTGTAATCCCAGTACTTTGGGAGGCTGAGGCAGTATGATTGTTTAAGCCCAGGAGTTCGAGAACAGCTTGGGAAACATGATGAGAACTCGTCTCTACAAAAAAATTTTAAAAAATTAGCTGGGCATCGTGATGCATGCCTGTGGGTCCCAGCTTCTCAGGAGGCTGAAGCAGGAGGATTGCTTGAGCCTGGGAAGTTGAGGCTGCAGTGAGCCAAGATTGTACCACTGCACTCCAGCCTGGGCGACAGAGTAAGACCCTGTCTCAAAAAAAAAAGAAGGCAAGAAGACAGCTGGGCACTGTGGTATACCTGGGATGCTAAGGTGGGATGACTGATTGAGCCCAGGAGTTCCAGACCAGCCTGGCAACATAGCAAGACCTCATCTCTATAAAAAGGCAAGAAAGGAATTAAGACTGGTTGTTTTTGGATGTGGAGACAGGGGTGATACTGTCATCTTCTTTCTACTTTTATGAATTTTTCAAATTTTCTATAATGACAATGTGTTGCCTTTGTAGAAATGATGACTTTTAAAACATTTTATTTCTATTTAGATGTTGTTAAAAGTTAAGGTTTGAAAAAAGGGGCTGGGCATGGTGGCTCACGCCTGTAATCCCAGCACTTTGGGAGGCCGAGGAGTGTGGATCACCTGAGGTCAGAAGTTCGAGACCAGCCTGGCCAACATGGTGAAACCCTGTCTCTACTGAAAATATAAAAATTAGCCGGGTGTGGTGGTGGGCACCTGTAATCCCAGCTACTCAGGAGGCTGAGGCAGGAGAATTGCTTGAACCCAGGAGGTGGATGTTGCAGTGAGCCGAGATTGCGCCACTGCACTCCAATCTGGGTGATAAGAGCGAACTCTGTCTCAAAAAAAAAAAAAAAGGAAAAGAAAAAGAGACTTTGGTCCCTCTATGGAAAAAAATAAAACAAACACTGATTTGACATGGGCAGAAAATGTTTAAAGGCTAGCCAAGTGCTTTGTGAGCCAATGTAATTTTTAACAGAGCTTATGCTTCATAAGACTGGGAGATAGGAAAGGCAGTGGGGGGGGCGGGGTGGGGGCTGGCAAAGAGAAAGTAAAATCTGTCCCCAGTTTGAAGAGGACATTCAGGTCACAGTTATTCCTTACAGCTAGAACCAGAATTCTCTGTTTCTATGTTCATTCTGGCAGGCTTTAAAAAAATGAAATATATTGGCCGGGCGCAGTGGCTCATGCCTGAAATCTGAGCACTTTGGGAGGCCGAGGCAGATGGATCACGAGGACAGGAGTTCGAGATCAGCCTGACCAACAGGTGAAACCCCGTCTCTACTAAAAATACAAAAATTAGCTGAGCATGGTGGCGTGAACCTGTGATCCCAGCTACTTGGGAGGCTGAGGCAGCAGAATTGCTTGAACCTGGGAGGCAGAGGTTGCAGTGAGCTGAGATTGCACCACTGCACTCCAGCCTGGCGACAAAGCAAGACTCCATCTAAAAAAAAAAAAAAAGAAAGAAAGAAAGAAATAGAATTCATGTATCATGGCCAGGCATGGTGGCTCACACCTGTAATCCCAGCACTTTGGGAGACTGAGGAGGGTGGATCATTTGAGCCCAGGAGTTTGAGACCAGTCTGGGCAATATGGCAAAACCCTGTCTCTACAAAAAATACGAAAATTAGCTGGGCATGGTGACATGTGCCTGTAGTCCCAGCTACTTGGGAGGCTGAAGTGGGAGGATCAGTTGAGCTCTGGGAGGTGGAGGCTGGGTTGCAGTGAGCTCACATCATGCCACTGCAGTCCAGCCTGGGCAACAGAGGAAGAAACTGTCTTTAAAAAATTCATGTATCATAAAATTTACATTTTTAAAGAGCACAATTCAGTGGTTTAATTTATTTACAAGGTTGTGTAATCATCAACACCATTAACTAATTCTAGAAGATTCTCATCACCCCAAAAAGAAATCCCCATACCCATTAGCAATCACCCTCAATCCCCCAACCACCCTCAAACCCTCCAGTTCCTGGCTACCGCTGCCTACTTTCTATCTATGCCTGGACATTTCATATAAATAGAATCACGGCCGGGTGTGGTGGCTCACATCTGTAATCTCAGCACTTTGGGAGGCTGAGGCGGGCGGATCACCTGAGGTCAGGAGTGCAAGACCAGCCTGGCCAACATGGTGAAACCCCATCTCTACTTAAAATACAAAAAATTAGCTGGGCGTGGTGGTATGCATCTGTAATCCCAGCTACTCGGGAGGCTGAGGCAGGAAAATCGCTTGAACCTGGGAGGCAGAGGTTGCAGTGAGCCGAGATCGCGCCATTGCACTCCAGACTGGGGGGACAAGAGCGAGACTTCGTCTCAAAAAAAAAAAAAAATTAGAATCACATAACATGGGGCCTCTTGTGTCTGACTTCTTTCAGTTAGCATAGTGTTTTCAAGGTTTATCCATGTTACAGTATGTATTATTACTTTATTCCATATTTATTATTATACAGCCTTGTTGAGATATAGTTCATATACCATACAAGTCACCTATTTAAAGTGAAGTGTAGGCCCGGCGCGGTGGCTCATGCCTGTGATCTGAGCACTTTGGGAGGCCGAGGCAGGTGGATCACCTGAGATCAGGAGTTCGAGACCAACCTGGCCAACATGGTGAAACCCTGTCTCTACTAAAAATACAAAAATTAGCCAGGCATGGTGGCGGGCACCTGTAATCCCAACTACTCAGGAGGCTGAGGCAGGAGAATTGCTTGAACCCAGGAGGCAGAGGTTGCAGTGAGCTGAGATCGTGCCACTGCACTCCAGCCTGGGTGACAGAGCGAGACTCCCTCTAAAATAATAATAATAATAATAATAATAATAAAGTGAAGTGTACAATTCAAAAGTTTTAATATATTCATAGAGTTGTGCAACCATCACAATCAATTTTAGAACATTTTCATCATCCCCAAAGAAGAAAACTATACCTATTAGCAGCCACTCCTCATTTCCCCCAAACCTTTCCAGCTTCAACTTTTACATTCCCACCGGCAATGTATACAGGTTCCAATATCTTTATATCTGCACCAACATCTGTTATTATCTGTCTTTTTTATTATAGTCACTTTATTTGGTGTAAATTGGTATCCCATTGTGGTTTTGGTTTGCATTGTCTTAATGGCTAATTATTTTGAGCATTTTTTTTTTTTTTGAGACAGAGTCTCACTCTGTTTCCTAGGCTGGAGTGCAGTGGCGTGATCTCGGTTCACTGCAACCTCTGCCTCCTGGGTTCAAGCGATTCTTCTGCCTCAGCCTCCCAAATAGCTGGGACTGCAGGCGTCCGCCACCACACCTGGCTAATTTTTGTACTTTTAGTAGAGATGGGGTGTCACCATATTGGCCAGGCTGGTCTCAAACTCCTTACCTCATGATCCGCCCACCTTGGCCTCCCAAAGTGCTGGGATTACAGGCGTGAGCACTGCACCCGGCCTATTGTGAGCATTTTTTCATGTACTTATTAGCCATTTGCTTGTCTTCTTAGGAGAAATGTCTAATCAAATCCTTTGCCTACTTTTAAGTTGGGTTATTTGTCCTTTTACTGTTGAGTTGCAAGAGTTCTTTATGTACTCTAGATTCAAATCCCTTATCAGATATATAAGTTGCAAAATTTTCTCCCATTCTGCAGACTATCTTTTTACTTTCTTGATGGTGTCCTTTGAAGCACAACAGTTTTTAATTTTAATGATGTTAAATTGGTCTGTTTTTTTCTGTTGTTGCTTGTATTTTATTGTCCCATATAAGACACCAATGCCTAATATAAGGTCATGAAGATTTAGATGTATGTTTTCTTCTAAGAGTTTTATAGCTTTAGCTCTTACATTCATGTCTGTGATCCATTGGAATTAATTTTTGTATATGATGTGAGGTAGAGGATCCAGCTTTGTATTTTTTTTAATGTGAATACAGTATTCAGTTGTCTTGGCATCAGTTGTTGAAAAGACAATTCTTTCCTCCATTGAAGTGTCTAGGCACCCTTGCCAAAATTCATTTGACCATGAATGTGAAGATTTGTTTCTGGGCGCCCAATTCTGTTCCATTGCACTATATGTCTATCCTTATGCCATTACCACACTGTCGTTTTATTTTATTTTATTTTATTTTATTTTATTTTATTTTATTTTATTTTATTTTAGAGATGGGTTCTTGCTATATTGCCCAGCTGGTCTCAAATTCCTGGGCTCAAGCTATTCTCTGACCTCAGCCTGCCAAGTAGCTGAGACTACAGGCCTGTGCCATTTTTGGTTTGTTCTTCACTAGTGTACAGAAATACAAATGACTTTCATATTTTTTTCCTGCAACACTGCTGAACTTGTTTATTAGTTCTAATGGCTTAGTTGTAGATTCCTTAGGACTTTCTAAATATAAGATCATATCATAAAGAGATAGTTTTACTTTTTCCTTTCCAAATTAGATTCCCTTTATTTCTTTTTCTTGCCTAATTGCCCTGGCTAGCAAATCCAGTACAACCTTGAAAGTAAATGGTGAGAGTGACATTTTTATCTAGTTCTTGATGTTATGGGAAAAACTTTCAGTTTTTAACCATTAAGTATGATGTTAGCTGTGGGTTTTTTGTAGATACTGTTTATCAGATTGAGGAAGTTCCCATTTTATCCTGCTTTGTTGAGTGCTTTTTTTTAATCATGAAAAGGTGTTGGATTTTGTCACTTTTTTTTCTTCATCTGAGATAATCATGTGTTTTTGTCTTTTACATGATCAATATGGGGTGTTACATTGATTGCTTTTGGATGTTGAACCAACCTTGCATTCCTGGGATAAATCCCACCTGGTCTTGGTGTATAATCCTTTTTTTATGCTGTTAGATTCAGTCAGTGTGCTAGTATTTTTTTTTTTTTTTTGAGATGGAGTCTCACTCTGTTGCCCAGGTTGAAGTGCAGTGGCACGATCTTGGCTCACTCTGCCTCTTGGATTCAAGCAACTCCCTGCCTTAGCCTCCCTAGTAGCTGGGATTACAGGCACCCACCACCATGCCCAGCTAATTTTTGTATTTTTAGTAGAGATGGGGTTTCACCATCTTGGCTAGGCTGGTCTTGAACTCCTAACCTCAGGTGATCCACCTGCTTCAGCCTCCCAAAGTGCTGGCATTACAGGCATGAGCCACCACGCCTGGCCTCAGTGTGCTAGTATTTTATTGAGGATGGTTGCATCTATACCTGACACTTGAAAAACTTGGGGGTTGGGATGCCAAACCCCCACACTGTTGAAAATCCATGTATAACTTTTGACCCCCTCAAAACTTAACTGTGGCTAGATTTACTTGAGTAAAAAATTTAAAAACTTAACTACTAATAGTGTACTGTTAACCAGAAGCCTTACTGATAACATAAACAGTTGATTGACACATATTTTGTATGTTATATGTATTATATACTATATTCTTACAATAAAGTAAGCTAGAGCAAAGAAAATGTTATTAAGAAAGTCATATGGCAGAGAAAATGGATTTATTATTTATTAAGTACAAATAGATAATCATAAAGGTCTTTGTCATCTTCATGTTGAGTAGGCTGGGGAGAAAGAGGAAGAGAAGGGGTTGGCCTTGCTGTCTCAGGGGTGGCAGAGGTGGAAGAAAATCTGCCTATAAGTGGACCTGCACAGTTCAAACCCATGTTGGTCAAGGGTCAACTGCATATTCATAAAGGCTATTGGTTTGTAGTTTTCTTTCTTTGTGATGTCTTTGATTATGGTTATCAGGGTAATACTGACCTCATAGAATGAATTGAGAAGCGTACCCTCCCGTTCTATTTTTTGGAAGAGCTTAAAGTATTGGTGTAATTTTTCTTTAAATATTGATAGAATTCACCAGTGAACCCATCTGGTGTTTCTTTGTGAGAGTTTTTTAAATGGCTAATTTAATCTATTTACTTTTTATACATCTGTTCAGTTTTCTATTCCTTCTTCAGTCAGTTTCTGTAATTTGTGCCTTTCTAGGAATGTATCCCTTTCATCTATTTTATCTAATTTGTTGGCATATACCTATTGATAGCATTGCCTTGTAATCCATTTTTATTTCTGTAAGGTTGGTACTAATGTCCCTTCTTTTCTTCCTAATTTTAGTAATTTGAGTCTCTCTTTCACTAATCAGCATAGCTAGAGGTTTATCAATTTTGTTAATCTTTTAAAAGAACCAACTTTTGTTCTTATTGATTTTTCCCTATTGTTTTCCTATACTCTATTTCATTTATTTACACTCTAGTCTTTATTATTTTCTTCTTTCTATTTGTTTTGGGATTTAATTTGCTCTTCTTTTTCTAGTTTCTCAACATGGAAGCCTAGGTTATTGATTTGAAATCTTTCTTCTTTTTCTTCATCTTCATCTTCGTCTTTGTCATCTCCATCTCTGTCTCCATCTCCTTCTCCTTCTTCTTCCTTCCTCCTTCCTCTTTCCTGCTTCCTCCTTCCTCCTTCTTCCTTCTTCAATGGATTTTGTTATATTATCCAAGATAGTATCGAATTTCTAGGCTGAAGTGATCTTCTAGCTCAGCCTCTGGAGTAGCTGGAATTACAGCCACATGCCACAGTGCCTGGCATGAAATCTTTCTTGTTAAAAAAAACTATATTCTTATTTTCCCCGGTATACAATACATATTAAGTATATTGCCATGCTATGTAATAGATCCACAGAACTAATTCATCTGTTCTAACTAAAACTTTGTACCCTTTGACCAACATCTCCCCATTCCTCCCAGCCTCTGGCAGTGAACATTCTACTCTCTGTATCTTGAGTATGACTTATTTTTAGACTCTACATATAAATGAGATCTTATAGTATTTGTCTTTCTGTGCCTAGCTTGTTTCACTTAACATGATGTCCTCCAAATTCATCCAATACAAATGACAGTATTTCCTTCTTTTAAATGGCTGAGTAGCATTCCATTATATAAATATGCCACACTTTCTTTATCCATTCCTTTACTGGTGGATACTTAGGTTGATTCCATATCTTGCCTATTGTGAATAATGCTTCAGTGAACATAGGATTGTAGATATCTCTTCAACATACTGATTTCATTTCCTTTGGCTATATACCCAGAAGTGGGATTGCTGGATCATCTGGTAGTTCTATTTTTAACTTTTTAAGAAATCTTCATACTGTTTTCCATAATGTGTTTCTTCTTTTTTGTGATAGGTGTTTACAGCTATAAATCTCCCTCTAAATACTGCTTTCACTGCCTTACATAAGTTTTAGTATATTTTCATTTTCACTTATCTTGAAGTATTTTTTCTTTTTTTTTTTTTTTTTTGAGATAGAGTCTCACTCTGTCGCCCAGGCTAGAGTGTAGTGGCATGATCACAGCTCACTGCAACCTCTGCTCCCCGGGTTCAAACAATTCTCTGCCTCAGCCTCCCGAGTAGCTGGAATTACAGGTGCCCACCACCATGCCTGGCTAATTTTTGTATTTTTAGTAGAGACAGGGTTTCACCATCTTGGCTAGGTTGGTCTTGAACTCCTGACCTCAGGTGATCCACCCGCGTCAGCCTCCCAAAGTGCTGGGATTACAGGCATGAGCCACCGCACCTGGCCTATCTCAAAGTATTTTTAAATTTCTCTTGTGATTTATTCTCTGATCACTGGTTATTCAGGAGTCTGTTGTTTAAATTCCACACATTTGTTAATTTCTCCAACTTCCTTCTGTTATTAATTTCTAATTTTATTCCATTGTGACTATGGAATATACTTTGTATGATTTCAGTCCTTTTAAATGCATTGAGACTTGTTTTATGGAATAATAGATTATCTACCTTGGAGAATGTTCCATGTGCTCTTGAGAAGAATATATATTCTGTTGTTGCTCATGGAGTATACTATAGATGTATTAGGTCTGGCTGGTTTGTATTGTTCAAATATTCTATTTCCTTGTTGATCTTCTGTCTAGTTGTTCTATGTATTATTGAAAGTGGGGTACGGAAATCTCCAACTATTATTGTTTTTTTTTTTTTTTGCCATGGAAAAACCCTCTTATTTATTTGATTAAACAAAAATAAAATAAGCTGCATAGGAACAATTTTAAAGTCCACAGAGACACCAACCTTGTTTTAGGGCTGCAGTAGTTGATATAGCATCTCCGCTGCCTTCTCCAGCCTACTCTGTGGACCACAGCAATACATTCAAAAGCCTGTTAGCTAACGCAGGTGTTTTTGAACACTTTTCCATTGGCTCTTCACCTGCTTATTGCCTGTCATACCTGCAGCCTGCAATCATAGCATTTAAGATTTAAAGGTGAAAGCCAAAAGAAAAACAAACAAAAACTCACTTTTGCCTAAAGCTTTGGGGGAAATGTTGATTTCCCCACCCATCCAGTGAATTGACAGAATTCACACCACCATGGCAATATCCAGTTAAAAGAGGCAAAAGGCAGTCAGCACCCCAGAGGAACTTACAGCATGGTTTCTGCAGCCGGAGGAGTTGTTTTGGTAGTACGTCGTCCTTGAATCATGTCTGCCTTGGACAAATAAAAATTAAGAGGTTTAACTTAATCATTCTAACATAGGCAACATGCCCATGTTAATCCCCCCAATTCTGCATTTACTTTTTTTCTTAAAAAAAAAAAATAAACTCAACTGAATCATATCTTCTGCAGTTAAAAATTGAAGCACTAGGCTGGGCGCGGTGGCTCAGGCCTGTAATCCCAGCACTTTGGGAGGCCAAGGCGGGCAGATCACAAGGTCAGGAGATTGAGACCATCCTGGCCAACATGGTCTTTTTTTACTACTAAAAGTATAAAAAAATTAGCTGGGCAAGGTAGCGCATGCCTGTACTCCCAGCTACTTGGGAGGCTGAGGCAGGAGAATATCTTGAACCCAGGAAGTGGAGGTTGCAGTGAGCTGAGATCACGTCACTGCACTCCAGCTTGGCTACAGAGTGAGTCTCTGTCTTAAAAAATAAAAATAAATAAATAAATAAATAAATAAAGCACTAGCTACTTGGGAGGTTGAGGTGGGAGGATCTCTTGAGCCCAGGAGGTCAAGGCTACAGTGAGCCATGATCACACCACTGCACTCCAGCCTCGGCAACATAACAAGATAAATAATAACAAATAAATAATAACAAGTAAATAAACAAATAAATAAAGCATTTTGCCAATATAGCTCAAGGTCTAATGGACAGTATTAAGCAAGATTCTAAAAAAATACTAACAACCGTCCCATCCACCCAAGTATACCTAACATGCTACTGAAAAACAACAGCCCTTACCAACCCACCTGCATTGATCTCAGGAGAAAAGGAAAAAAGAATGAAATCTTACCACCCTAAAAACAAGATAACCCCAGGAAAAATATTTCTCTGAAGAAAGACAACTACAGAGACTGCTAGAAACATAAAGAATGATTACAGAGCTGGTTATTTAAAGCAAGTAAACACTTTGCTACACACATTAACATTCAGTCAGTGTGCTCTAAGACAGTCTTAAGGAAAACAGTACCTGAGCTTGTAAGTTAATACAATCATTAAAAGAAGGTCTAAGATCATGTGGATACACAAAACCTTCAGAACCATTACTGGTTAAGTGATGATGGCAAACATCCCACCAGGCTGGCTTGTTAACCCATAAGATGAATTTTAAAAACAGACATACTTGAGGTGTCTCTTCACCATGGTATTTATAAGCCAAACTCATGATAATGACAATGGTTTTGGACCCTCCTCTCTTCTAACCAAACCAAAAATTAACTAGGGAAGAAAAGAGGCAGGAGGGCCAATACGGTATATTCTGGTAATGTGCCTCTCAACTTCATCAAGTATTTAATAAACAAGTAAAGGGAAAAAACAACCCATCAACGTGTTATTTTGGTAGAAAAAAATTAAAACACAAAACAAAAGAGCAACACACACTTCATCAGTCATTGCTCAGTAAAAACGGTGATTGTCCAATATTATTGTTATTTATATATATGTATATATATGTGTATATGTATGTATGTGTATGTATATATATATGTTTATGTATATATTTTTTTGTTTGTTTGTTTTTGTTTTTGTTTTTGAGATGAAGTCTTGCTCTGTTGCCCAGGCTGGAGTACAATGGAGCGATCTTGGCTAACTGCAACCTCCGCCTCCCGGGTTCAAGCGATTCTCCTGCCTCAGCCTCCTGAGTAGCTGGGATTACAGGCACCCACCACCACGCCCAGCTGATTTTTGTATTTTTAGTAGAGATGGGGTTTCACCATATTGGTCAGGCTGGTCTCGAACTCCTGACTTAGTGATCTGCCCACCTTGGGCTCCCAAAGTGCTGGGATTACAAGCATGAGCCACCGCGCCACCGCACCCAGCCCCTTTTCTTTTTTATAATAGCGATGGGGTCTCACCATATTGCCTAGGCTGATCTTGAAGTCCTGGGCTCAAGCAATCCTCCCACTTCAGCCTCCCAAAGTGCTAGGATTACAGGTGTGAGCCACTGCGCCTGGCTGTTGTTATTGAAATGTCTAGTCTGCCTTCAATTCTAACAGTTTTTGCTGTATGTATCTTTGGACTTTTTGTTTCACCCAACTTTTATGCTAAAAGTAGAGTTAGACTAAATCATAATTGATCATTGAAGTCCATTAAAAGTGGGTCAAATTATATGTGTTACACTATTTAAAATCTTGCTTATCATTGTATATCACTTTTTAAATAGAATGTAATTTATTTTGTGGCCAGGCGCAGTGGCTCATGCCTGTAATCCTATAACTTTGGGAGGCTGAGGCAGGTGGATTGCCTAAGCTCAGGAGTTCGAGATCACCCTGGGCAACATAGTGAAACCCTGTCTCTGCTAAAATACAAAAAATTAGCTAAGTGTGTTGGTGCGCACCTGTAGTCCCAGCTACTCGGGAGGCTGAAGCATGAGAATCATTTGAGCCCGGGAGGCAGAGGTTGCAGTGAGCTGAGATCACGCCACTGCATTCCAGCCTGGGTGACAGAACAAGACTGTCTCAGAAAAAAAAAAAAAAAAATAATTTATTTTGTGCTTTTGATTTTTTCTAGAAATTTACTTATACGAAAAGAACTATTTATTTGTTTTAAAGAGATGGAGTCTTACTATATTAGCCAGGCTGGTCTCAAACTCCTGGTCTCAAGCAATCCTCCCTCCTCAGCCCCCTAAAGTGCTGGGATTACAGGCATGAGCCACTGTGCCCAGCACCTGAAAAAGCACTATTTGGTAGAGTCATGTTTTAACATAGACTCAAAACTTCCCTGCCCCTGAGCAGGGGCCACAAAGTCCCAGTCTGGCTTCTGTGTCATGTTTAGAGGATGTGGGGTCCAGACAGAATCATCAATGGTCAGGGTCAGGGCTCAACCTAGGGTCCAGAGTGGTTATGTCTGGGAGGCTCAGTGGTATAGCTAGGAGTGGAATTCAAGCATAACACTATTGAGAGGCCAACTGTGGGCACTAGGGAGGGAAGAGGGAGCAAGTGTTCTAAGTGCAACAGACTATGTATATCCCTGTGCCTGAAAGAACTGGTCCCAGCCGGGTTCTGGCCCCCAAGGTTTGTAAGGTTTAGAAAGTGGCCAATATCTCTTGTGATGTCTCAGGCACAGAGATAAATGTGCAAGGAACTATGTACCTCTTCTGGCCCCTGTGGGGTGGACTCTGGCTGGGTGATAGGGAAGGCAACTAGGTAAATATTGTGGGAGTCAGTGAAGGTGGGTAGTTTACCTCCTTGTATTGGATGTGGTTTCACCTGCGACGGGACATGTGGGGCTAAGACTTCAATTTCCCCTTCAATCGGAAGCCCTCCAAGCTCCAGAGCATCTCCTCCTTGAAATTTTCCCTATTTTCCCACCCACACGAAAGAGGCTCTGCCTGGAGCACCACCTGTTTCCCCACTACCCCTTCACTGCTCAGGGTGAAGCAGCATCAAATGACCCTCTCCCCAGCAGGGTGGTCTTAAGCTTTCACCTCCTAGGGGCATTTCACAGGGGCAGTAGAAAACCAAAATACCCTTTTGACCTTAAAAAACAATGCCTTACACCTCTACTGAAAGTGCTTGTTTGCTGAATTGAAGACTTTAAGGAATGAAGTTATAATGGTAGGATTTCAATTGAAATTCCTGTGCAGATATGTGACCCCAAGTGAGGCCCCTATGTTTGGGGAGTAGAGGCTCTGACCTCTAGCCATCCATCCTTTGGCCCAACTCGTTCTTTCTTTTCTAGAAGTGCCATTCCCCCTTCCCCCTGCTGCTGCTCTCTTGAAGCTGTGCTACGGGGGCCCAGTCTCGGTGAGACCGATTGTCTGCCTTTCCCCAATCCCTACCAAATCCACTTTCCGTCCCCTCCCGCCGCCATCCTGCTCAGGATTATGTAATAGGAAGTTCTCAACTAGACTCCCTGGGGAGGGAAAAGGGGCCTGAGAGGGAAAAACAGCACAAGAATACAGAGCACAAGAGGCACAACCTTTTCCTGTTCTCTAGACTGAGAGCTCCCCAGAACGGGGCCTCCTCTTCTGTTTTCTCCCATACCTCCCCGCAACCCTGGAGCCATGCAACCCAGGGCTCGCCGCATAAGGCCGAGTATTCTACCCTCTCCTCAAGCTGCTGGAAAGATCCTTGGGCAGGACTAGCCTTAAGATAAAAAGCAGGCTGCTTCCTTGGGAGCAGGGGTGTGTCTGGAGAGGGTAGGGTATCAGCAGAAGCCCCACTGAGTCGAACAATGGCAGGAAAGGAAACCACGCAGTTGCCACTGCATTTTTCTTCAAGGCTGAGTCTGTGCAGACCTTTCCTGGAAGGGATGGTGGTATAGCTGTTTCCAGAATAGAAGGTAGTATTTCTTCAAATGCCTTTCAAAATATGATGGGGTGTGTGTGTGTGTGTGTGTTTGTGTGTGTGTGTCTCCCTCACAGAAGCAGAGACAGAGGAGTGAAAAGAAGCCACATCATAGATGCCTTGAACACCAAAGCTTTGATTTTTTTCTAAATGACATGATTGAATTTCACGAAGATTTCCTTGGCTGCTGTGTGGATTGGTGGTTTGCCGGGTCCAAGAGCGGAAAGAATTAGGAGACCACTACAGTGGTCCAGGCTCCAGTTGATTAGGTCTGATGTGGGATAGTGGCCAGGGGACAAAGAAGTCAACATTGGCCCTTACTCAGGGAGGGGAGAAACGACCAGAGTACTTGGTGAGGGGAACCAGGAGAATAAGATTTGCTCTGGAGCCAGATCCAGGGTTAGAAATCTGGGGAAACAACAACAAAAACTCTCCCAGAAAACCCATAGCTTGGGCTCATAGAGCAGGCTTGGCTGGGGCTCAACCCATTCATATAGTGTTGGAAGGGAAACTGAGACACACTCTCAGGAACAGAAGGTCACAGAATGGGAGCCTAGGCTCCAGTCCCAGGCTTCCTGCAATGGCCACTCAGTTCATCCCCAGTACTCCTGAAGGGAGTTCCCATTTATGCATATCACACCCACCACCCACCAGCCCAGGGGTAGAGGGCAGACCAGTGAGGAATTCTGGCTACAACAAGGCTGCTGGAAGCTCCACAGGGGAGGGTCAGCACCCGCCCCCACCCAGATCCAGATGTGCAGAGAGAGATAAATTTGGAATGTGCAGGGATAAGGGACTGGAAAAGGCTGGCAGGAGCCAGGGTTCCTGGCACCCTGGGAAATTAGGGATAGGGATAGCTGGCAGCCCAGTTCTTTTCTCTTTCCCTAACTCCAAGAAAGATCCTCGTGAATCCTGACATTTCAGCATGCCCTCCCAATTACTTGAATCTTTTTTTAGCATCAATGGAGAAAGGGGAAACACTTCTCGGCCTAGAATCAGGCCCACTTGGTGGCAGCTTCAGAGATGCACATTTCAGCTAGCTCCCATCCTTGGAGGTATACAGACTGGGATGGGCCATGCTGTTGAAAGGGGATGAGTTCTGGGTCTGAGATTCTAGATCCCTGCAAACAGGATACCAACGTTCTAGTGCAGCTGTGGTTACTAATTTTCCATATGACCTCAGGCCAATACCCTCCTCTCTCAGAGCTTCAGTTTGTTCATCTGTGCTTTTGTGATTAATGGGGTCAATGGCAGAAGCCAGACAAGAAACCAGATCCCAAGCCAAGGGCCAGTTTGTTGGAATTTGCCCAGACAAGGTGTGCAGTCTGGTTTCCATCCAGGCCGTCAGACACTCCTGCCTGCCTTCAATGCCCTTCTAAAAGGTACTCCTCCTCCAGGGAAGCCTCACAGATTATCTTCTTCCCCCCCATGTCATACACTGCTTGGTCCAGGGCTGTCCAATAATACTTGTTGCAACTATGGAAAAGTTCTATAATTTGCACTGTCCAATATATTAGCCACTAGTCACATATGGCTGTTGAACATTTGAAGTGTGGCTAATGTGCCTAAAGAACTGAATTTTAATTAATTTTAGAAGTAAATTTAAGAAGCCATATGTGGCTACTCACTACCATATTGGACAATACAGGTTCTAGCCAAGGCTTTTCTCTCTTTGTTCCTTGTTTATAATAGTTCATAGGAGTTACCATTTATTGAGCACTTACTCTTTGCCAATTTTTGTGTGTTTTATTTATTTTTTTCCTCTTTTTTTTTCTTAATTTATTATACTTTAAGTTATAGGGTACATGTGCACAACGTGCAGGTTTGTTACATATGTATACATGTGCCATGTTGGTGTGCTGCACCCGTTAACCCGTCATTTACATTAGGTATATCTCCTAATGCTATTCCTCCCCACTCCCCCTGCATAGGGTTTTATACACATCTCAGTGAATCCTAGAAATTCCATTTTAAAGATGAAGAAACCAAGGTTAGGTAAAACTGGTTTCAGGTTGCATAGAAAGCTGGAGAACCATTCAAATGTGGGTCATGTTCTCCAGCCATTTAAGGAACTTTCCAGGGCCCAGCCTGGGGTTCTCCTTCTACACTTACTCTAGAGCACATGGCTGGACACCAGGGCCTGGGGAGGCTTATCAGTGAGTATCAGTTGGTAGATGGTAGACACTTGATGAAAAGGAGAGAAACTATATTCACTTTCCATCTCCCAGGGACCCAGGAATCCTGGCTCCTGACATCCCACCTTGAGGTATCTCTCTTTTTGCCTTTCTCCTGGACTACAGTGTCCCTTGGGTCACAAACTCAGAGTTCAACTGGTGCTATGTACAGAGGACGGGGGAGGGGGTGTCACAGCAGGCCCAGAGAAAGCCATCCAGGCTGAGAGCTGGGTTCTAGAAGGATCCTTGTTTTTAATCAATAAAACAAGAAATAGTATTATAATAGCTACCATTTATTGAGCACCTACTTTGTGCCAGGCACTTTACATACATTTGTGCTTATAATTCTTACAACAACCTCGGGAGGTAGGCATTATTATCACCATTTGACATATGAGAAAACAGAGGCTTAGCAAGGTTAAGCGGCTTGTTCAAGGTCACAGAGCTGGTAGATAAGTGATAGAATCAGCACTTGAGTTGTGCATCTGTGAGGGCCCCAAAGCTTTCATCAGGCATTTTCCACACTGAGAAAATAAAGAAGGTAGAGGAGTGGTGTATTAGTCTGTTTTCACACTGCTGATAAAGACATACCCGAGACTGGGTAATTTATGAAGAAAAAGAGGTTTAATGAACTCACAGTTCCATGTGGCTGGGAGGCCTCACAATCATGGTGGAAGGCAAAAGGCACATCTTACATGGCAGCAGACAAGAGAGAATGAGAGCCAAGCAAAAGGGGAAACCCCTTATTAAACCATCAGATCTCGTGAGACTTATTCACTACCACCAGAACAGTATGGGAGAAACTGCCCCTATGATTCAATTATCTCCCACCAGGTCCCTCCCACAATTATGGGAGCTACAATTTAAGGTGATATTTGGATGGGGACACAGCCAAACCATATCATTCTCTCCCTGGCCCCTCCCAAATCTCATGTCCTCTCATTTAAAAATCAATCATGCCTTCCCAACAGTCCCCCAAAGTCTTAACTCATTTCAGCATTAACTCAAAAGTCCATACTCCAAAGTCTCATCTGAAACAAGGCAAGTCCCTTCCACCTATGAGCCTGTAAAATCAAAGGCTAGTTAGTTACTTCCTAGATACAACGGAGGTACAGGCATTGGCTAAATACACCCATTTCAAGTGGGAGAAGTTGGCCAAAACGAAGTGGCTAAAGGCCCCATGCAAGTCTGAAATCCAGCAGGGCAGTTAAATCTTAAAGCTCCAAAATGGTCTCCTTTGACTCCATGTCTCACATCCAGGTCACACTGATGCAGGAGGTGGGTTCCCATGGTCTTGGGCAGCTCCACCCCTATGGCATTGCAGGGTACAGCCTACTTCTCGGTTGCTTTTACAGGCTGGCGTTGAGTGTCTGTGGCTTTTCCAGGTGCATGGTGCAAGCTGTCAGTGGATATACCATTCTGATGTCTGGAGGACGGTGGCCTTCTTCTGACAGCTCTACTAGGCAGTGTCCCAGTGGGGTCTCTGTGTGGGGGCTTCCCCTTCCACATTGCCTTAACAGAGGTTCTCCATGAGGGCCTCACTCCTGTAGCAAACTTCTGCCTGGACATACATGCATTTCCATACATTCTCTGAAATCTAGGCAGAGGTTCCCAAACCTCAGTTCTTGACTTCTGTGCACCTGCAGGCTCAACACTACGTGGAAGATGCCAAGACTTGGGGCTTGCACCCTCTGAAGCCAAGGCCTGAGCTGTATCTTGGCCCCTTTTAGCCATGACTAGAGCAGCTGGGATGCATGGTACCAAGTCCCTGGGCTGCACACAGCAAGGGGACCTTGGGCCTGGCCCACAAAACCATTTTTTCCCTCCTAGGCCTCCAGGCCTGTGATGGGAGGCACTGCTGCAAAGGTCTCTGACATGCCCTGCAGACATTTTCCCCATGTCTTAGTGATTAACATTTGGCTCCTTGTTACTTATGCAAATTTCTGCAGGGGGCTTGAATTTATCCTCAGAAAATGGGTTTTTCTTTTCTATCTCATCATCAGGCTGCAAATTTTCCAAACTTTTATAGTCTGTTTCCCTTTTAAAACTGAATGCTTTTAACAGCACCCAAGTCACCTCATGAATGCTTTGCTGCTTAGAAATTTCTTCTGCCAGATACCCTAAATCATCTCCCTCGAGTTCAAAGTTCCACAAATCTCTAGGGCAGGGGCAAAATGCAGCCAGTCTCTTTGCTAAAATATAGCAAGAGTCACCTTTACTCCAGTACCAAACAAGTTCCTCATCGCTATCTGAGACCAACTCAGCCTGGATTTCATGTCCCAATCATTATCAGCATTTTGGTCAAAGCCATTTAACAAGTCTCTAGGAAGTCCCAAACTTTCCCACATTTTCCTGTCTTCTGATCCCTCCAAACTGTTCCAACCTCTGCCTGTTACCCAGTTCCAAAGTTGCTTCCACATTTTTGGGTATTTACAGCAGCGCCCCACTCTACTGGTACCAATTTACTGTATAGGTTCATTTTCACAGTGCTGATAAAGACATAACCAAGACTGGGTAATTTATAAAGAAAAAGAGGTTTAATGAACTCACAGCTCCACGTGGCTGGGGAGGCCTCACAAGCATGACAGAAAGGCACGTCTTACATGGCGGCAGGCAAGAGAGAATGAGAACTAAGCAAAAGGGGAAACCTCTTATAAAATCATCAGCTCTCATGAGATCTATTCACTATCACCAGAACAGTATGGCGGAAACTGCCCCCATATTTCAATTATCTCCCACTGGGTCCTTCCCACAACACATGGCAATTATGGGAGCTACAATTCAAGATGAGTTTTAGGTGGGGACACAGCCAAACCATATCAGGTGGGGAAACGGATGCATTCTCTAGGGGGTAGGGGACTGGTTTTGCTACCAGAGCTGTTGATGGAAGCTAAAGTTCACCCTGTTTCCCACCGACCCGCTCTGGCATGCCACTTTTCTCCAGACTCAGCTGCAAAGTCAGAAAAAACTCACTCCGGCTGAGGTTGCTCTTCTTAGAAAGAGAAAATGGCTGGCGTGGTGGCTCATGCCTGTAATCCCAACACTTTGGGAGGCCAAGGTGGGTGCATCACTAGGTCAGGAGTTTGAGACTAGCCTGGCCAACATGGTAAACCCCATCTCTACTAAAAAATACAAAAAGCCAGGCATAGTGATGCATGCCTGTAATCTCAGCTACTCAATCGCTTGAACCTAGGAGGAGGGGTTGCAGTGAGCTGATTGTGCCACTGCACTCCAACCTGGGTGACAGAGCAAGACTCCATCTAAGGGGGGGCGGGGGGAAGAGAAAATGGCTGAGATGAAAGACCTTCCCCTGTCTGTTTATTGGTAGTTGTCAGTGTGTGCATGTAGCCTGTGTTCAGAAGCACAGACCACCAGAGTAAGAACATCACTCCCTTCTAGGCCACACCCCAGGCACATGTGCAGGGGGTGAGGCAGCTGAGGAATCTTGAAAGGGCTATTTATTTCCTACGAGAGTCCTGGGGAAACCGCCTGGGAGGAGGCTGGCTCAGCAATCAGAGCCTCAAATTTGCTCCATGCCCCCTTCCTCCAGATCATCCAGCCTCAGAGAGGTTGTGTTCATTTCATAGATCAGGGACCCATGATGCGTGTTTCTCTCTCTCTCTCTCTCTCACACACACACACGCACACTCTTCAGTTAAGGCACGAAGTCTGGCCTGCATGGCCCTGCAAGTCTGTTCCCATCAGGCACATTTGGCCCAGGGCTGAGCCCATGTATGTACACAAATGGGTTAGTGCAGTGTTAGGAGTCTCTTCACAAATTGGGAACATGATGATGGCTCTGTGCTAAGCCCAGTCCTCCTGTTCCCTGGGAGGGGATCTCTTGCCTCCTTGTCAGCCAAACACCTCCCCAGCTGGACTGGGACCAAATCAGCCACAGTTCAGGTGAGTGCTGGGGACTCAGGGCCTGGCTTCTAACACTAAGAAAACACACGTTCTAAGTGTGGTGGGGGCTATTTGGAGACCTTAAATAAGATCAAGTCCCCACCTAAGATGGACAAAGATGGCCACGAAAGCCAGGAGGGGGAGGTTTCTCTTTGTGCTTTTAAACCCCAACCATGTATAACCATGTATAACAGGAAGAGAGCTGACCTTTTTCCTCTAAGCTCTCTGGCTTCCACCCCAGGGAAGAGGTTTCTGCAGATTGGTGTGAGTGTGGGGGTGGAAAGGGCACAGTAAGGATTGTGCGTTGGAGCAGGAGATTGCTTCAGTGCCCCCTCCCTAGGCCCCACCTTCAGCAGCTGGTTCCAGCACATTTAAGTCAGCAGCCACTTAATGGGTGGTATAGAGGTGGGAGGTTCCTGGGAGTACATGGTGCGGGTGTGACGGAGGGTTCAAGGTCTGCATGAAGACTGGGGGCTTTGCGGTTACCGGGCCCTGGGCTGGGTCAGGACGCCCAGGTAAAGTAGGCGATCTCATCCAGGTCGACCGGGTAATCGGTGAGCAGCACCGGCGTCTTGTCGAAAAGCTCACCCTTGTAGCTGCGCCACTTGCCGGCGGGCAAATAGACGTCGCGCTCCTGCTTGCCTGGCTCCAGCACCGGGGCCACAAGCAGCGTGTCCCCAATAAGGAACTGCGAGTCGATACGGTGAGCTGTCTCGTCGCCGGGCGCAATCCACCAAAGGGGGCGCACGATAGGGTCACCCGTGTCGGTGACCTCGCCCGCCAGCTCAAGCAACAGCGGTGCCACAAGCGAGGCCCGCAGGGCGGCGAACTTCTGCGCGATGGCCACCACTTCCGCGTCGTAGCGCCAGGGCGGGATAGAGAACTGCATGGCCGGCATAAAGGCGGCCACTTCCAGCCAGCGAATGTAGAGCTCGCGCTCGGGCACATCGCCGCCGGCTGTCCGCTGGGGCACGGCGTTGCCGCCCACCATATCGGGTAGGATGAATGGGTAGCCCAGCATGCTGACGGTGAGCACCGCGGGGATGAGTGAGCGCAACCCCAGGTCGTAGCCCCACACAGAGTCGCGATCCACCAGGCGGAAGAAGCAGGAGATGTTCTGTGACTGGTAGCCTACGCGCACCTCCGCCAGCGAGAAGAAGGGCAGCGCCATCTCAGTGTAGCGCCGGCTCCAGACGCTGGGGTCCGGCAGCGGCCGGTAGGTGCTGAAGTCCCGCGGCAGGTAGCTGACCTCGCCCGCGTCGAACTTGAAGGAAGCCACGGAGTAGCGAGAGCGCAGCCGCCGCAGGTGTCCCTGGAACCAGTCGCGGGCCTTTGGGTGCGTGAAGTCTAGCACCGCGCCGATGCCGTTCCACCAGCGCACCAGCGCAGGTAACCGGCCCGTGGGTTCGCGCACGAACAGCTCGCGCTCCACGCCCTCGCCGAAGCGCGACGAGTTGTAGTTGACAAAAGGGTGCACCCAGAGCGTGACGCGGAAGCCGGCGTCGCGCAGGCGGCGGAACATGTCGCTGGCGTTGGGGAATTTGACCTCATCGAAGTCGAAGTCGCCATAAGCAGGTGTGTACATGTCGTCGATTTCCAGGTGGCTGCTGTTGAAGTGGTGCAGGCGGATCTGTTGGGCAAAACGCAGCACCTTGTCCTGGTCCACGGCGCGCCCGTACAGCGCCCATGTGGACCAAATGGGGTCTCGGAAGGCCTCGGGTGCTGGCACCCTTGACGGCTTGTTGAAGTAGCGACGCACCATGTACTTGTGGATGGAGGTGACGTCTGAGCCCACGCACACTCGGTAGCTCAGCTCTGGCGCTGCGGCGCGGCCGGCGGGTGGCTTGTAGGGCGTGTCGTGGTAGCGCGCCTGAAGCCGCAGCGAGCGCTCCGTGCTGTTCCAGCCCAGGTGGAAGGGCACTGAGTCATTGACTTTGATGGCGGCCGCGCGCGAAGATAGCCAGTAGCGCTCGAGGATGCCCCCAAACGCGGCGTCGGAGGAGTAGACATCGCTGGTGACGAACGGCTGGGGCTCCTGCTGGCCATCCAGGCGGATGGGCCAGTGTTGCGTCCTCATCTCGGCGCCACCATACCAGTGGGCCGCCGCGTCGCCCAAGAACATGGCGTGCTCCACGGCCCGGCCCGGCGCTGCCTCCTCCCAGCGCACGCGGTAGCACATGACCGTGTCCTTGGGCCGCACAGTCTGGATGAAGAAGTGCAGCGGCAGCCCGTCGGCCGTGAGCGAGCAGCCCAGCAGGGCGCCATCGCGGCTGCAGGAGTCAAGGTCCAGCGCGCCGGAGCGGAAGGCCAGGCGGAAGACCTGCTCTCCCTTCTGATTGCGGATGGAGAAGCCGCCAGCTTTCAGGTCCAGCAGCTCCGCGCGAAGTCGCTCCGCCTTGCGTAGGGAGACGCTGTAGTAGCACCAGGCCACCACCGCGGCCAGCACAAGCAGCAGCCCCAGAACCGCGGAGCCCAGCAGCGGCTTCAGGTCTTTGGAAGGCTTGGGCTTGGCAGGTGAGAAGTTGTCGGGCAGGAAGGTGTACATAGCTGCGGCTGCGATGGCCTCGGGGTTCTGACGGTATGCGTAGCAGCCAGGCCGGCGGCGGCGGGGGTAGGCCTGGCTCTTCTCCTGAGGGTTCTGGAGCATTAGTGGGCTGCTAAGAAAGGAGCGGGCCGTGGGGCCATCTGACTGAGTTCATCTCAACCTGCTCTGAAAGGAGGAGACAGAGATGGAACTGAGCTATCTCATCCCATGATATTTCCATTTGCTGCCGCAAGCTAAGAGGAGGTGTATACTTTGGGAAGATGAATACTGGAACCTGAGGGCTTGAAGAGTGGCAAAGGTGAGACCCTTACCAGGACAATCTGTGCCTAACCCACCCTTTCTCATGGGACCTAATGCTTGCCCAAATTAGGACTCTGTGACTGGGGAGCGGCCCATGTGACTGGGAGATGGCACCCATCCTCATTTTCCTAGTGGAGAAACAAACCCTGAGAGGGTCAGGAAGCTTTCCAGGATCACAGGATAAGCCAGGCCTCCCCAGATCACACATGGGGCCGTTCGGGCTGAAGAGACGGGAAAGGAACTAGAAAAGTCCTGCTCTCCTAGAGGTGTGGATGGTCAGGGTGGGAGAGGGGGTATTGTCCAGCCAGCTCCTTGAGACTTTTTTTTTTGAAATGGAGTCTCTCTCTGTCACCCAGACTGGAGTGCAGTGGCATGATCTCAGCTCACTGCAATCTCTGCCTCTTGGGTTCAAGCGGGTCTCCTGCCTCAACCTCCCGAGTAGCTGGGATTAAAGGCGCACACCACCACACCTAGCTAATTTTTGTATTTTTGGTAGAGACAGGGTTTCACCATGTTGGTCAGGCTGGCTTCGAACTCATGACCTCAAGTGATCCACCTGCCTCAGCCTCCAGAAGTGCTGGCATTACAGGCGTGAGCCACCTCGCCCAGTCCCCCTTGAGACTTTTAACAGGGCGGTAGGCTAGCTTCCCTGTCCCCAGAGGGGGAGAGGAGGGAGGAAGGGAGAACAGCTCAGGGATGTGTTTTTATCCTGAGTCAAAAGCCTGATGAAGTCTGGAGATTGAAGAAGACACCCAAAGCCAGACTTAGTCCCAGGGCCTGGTTTGGAGGGAGGTAGAGTTGGGTTCAGACATTAGGGCCTGGGGCAGGAGCCTGGCATGGGGGGCCAGTTGTTTCTCACATCTGCTTCTCTTTGCCCTCAAACTCAC
The DNA here is from genome assembly GCF_000001405.40 of Homo sapiens. Classification (NCBI taxonomy): domain Eukaryota; kingdom Metazoa; phylum Chordata; class Mammalia; order Primates; family Hominidae; genus Homo; species Homo sapiens. The sequence goes on from NC_000009.12 coordinate 34,374,029, forward strand.
CCTGCTCTCAGCCATCATCCATCACCAAATCCATTTCCATGCCTGCCTTCCTGCTTTGCTCCTGGCACCACATCTGTGGGCCAGCTACTTCCTCGCTCTGTTTCACCCACTGTCCTGTTTCTGTCATAGTTTGGGCACTGTCACTTCTCCCCTGTATTACCAAACGCTTCCCCCAACAGGCCTCTCTGACTCTAACTTCTTTCTCACCAGTGCCTTCTGATCACGGCAACCATAGTGATCTTTCTAAAGCACTTATCAAACCATATCTATCCCTAGCTTCGAGAGCTGCTCATTGCTTCCATGATGAAATTTAAAAGTGTTTGCTTTGCACTGGAGGCTCCAGGCATGATGTGTTCTCAGCTACCATTCTGATTCCATTTCCAGCCAAGCCTATCTTGTGATTACCAAGCTCGTTCCTTCCCCAACCTAAATCCTTTAGGCCACCTGCTTCAGGAGATTTCACCCACCTAGCTTGGCCCAGCGCACCTCCTCCACCTACCTGCTCTCCAGGGATCAGACACCCACCACTACCACTAACACACATAAACTCTGACACACTATATGCTAAATATCCAGATATGAGGCCATGCACGGTGCTCATGCCTGTAATCCTAGCACTTTGGGAGGCCAAGGAGGGCAGATCTCTTGAGCTCAGGAGTTTGAGACCAGCCTGGGCAACATGTTGAAACCCTGTCTCTACCAAAAATACAAAAAAAAAAAAAAATTAGCCAGGCATGGTGGTGTGCACCTGTAGTCCCAGCTACTTGGGGGGCTGAGGTGGGAGGGTCGCTTGAGCCCAGGAGGTCAAGGCTGCAGTGAGCCAAGATTGTGCCACTGCACTCCAGCCTAGGTGACAAAGTGAGACCCTATCTCAAAAAAAAAAAAAAAATACAGATATGACTACAGGGAAACACAGGCTCAGGGGAAGAGGTGTGTCCTACTCTGCCACTCAAGGCCACTGACCGTTCCTGTCCCAGGCTTCAGAGCAGAGTCCAACAAAGAAATAGCACCACCCAGGTGCACACACGGGCATACACACAGCCAGCCAGTTGGTTGCCCAACTGCTCCAGCTCGGGGGAAGAAGAGAAGGAGACTAGCAAACAGTAATTAGCCTCCTCCCAGATGCCAGTGTCTGTCTCTAAGTCCCCAGGGACTTCCAAGGAGATGCCGGAAATACTCAGGTTTTTCACCTCCCCCATGCAAGAATGCAAGGTGTGGAGCAGAATTTGATCCTAAATGTCAATACACAGCTCCTCCCATAGGCACTTCCCACACGGTGCTAGCTCAGGGCCTCATTCTCAGTGCCCTCTGCCCCCAGCTGCCTAAGCTTGTCAGCCCTAGCTGGTCTGGAACAGACTCTTATTCCCTTTCTCTCAGTCTACAATGACTTAGCTTTCCTCCCCATTCCTATATAGATACAGCTTAGAAAACACCTCCTGGAAAATGCAGCCAGTGGCCTTTAGGTGATGCCCTCAAGCTGAGCAGAACCCAAAGAAGGCTTTAGGTGGCTCAGATCACACCTGTGAGTTTATATTCATTCATTCAAGATAACCAAAGCCCTATTCTGGGCACCAAGGAAATAAGGAGAGAGAGGGTCAGTATCTGAAGAGGAGAGAGACTTCCTCATCCTCAAAACTTTCATATGAAGTCAGCCTATCTCATGAGCCCTGGAGGCAGGAAGAGGCCACCAAGGTGGATTCAAAAGCCCTTTCCGACAGTTATGTTTTGAGAATCTTAATTTTCTGGGATCTGAAGTTCTTTGATGAAAGACAGAAGCCCACAGGCCTGGGCACCCACCCACCCCAGGCACCATGATAGTGTCCCAAATGTCACCACAGCATCCAGTTCTATCAACAATGTGGAACAGCAGACATAGCTGCAGTGTCCATTTTACAGGTGAGGAAACGTGGCCCAAACAGAAAAAGGAACTTGTCTGAAGTTAGCCAGGTATCAAGGCTGCCTGGATCTAAAATCCCAGCCCAGCTCTCCACAGTGTAAGTTTTAGGAGATGGGAGATAATGATCTGACCTGGCTGCCTGAATGCAGTAGCAGAAAGGAGCCCTGGGGCTGAGCTGGTGGGACCAGCTTCCATCAGATGGACATGGCATGGTGAGGCCTGTCTTTCCAAGGGCTGGTGCTGCTGCTTGCTCCACGCGGACCACGAAGACCACGAGGGCAGCAAAGAGGGCAATTTTAATGGCATCTGGTACCGGGGCTTTGGGGGAGGAAGTCTGTGGTTCCGGTGTTAACAGTGGTGCCAGAGACCTCTGTAATCTGCCGCCTCCGCCAGGTGGAGTCTGGGCTCTGCCCCTGCTGAGCCTCTCCCCACCGGACACTCAACCTCAGCCTTGGCTGCCACAGCTAGTCTGGTCTGAGGGGGAGGGCCCCGCCCGACTCAACTGAGGGGAGGCCATTCCAAGTAGAATCGTTAGTTGGACACAGTTCCCGGGGGGATGGAAATGTCAAAGGCAACTCGATCCGGCCCATCTCCCTCTCCTGCCAGGCGACGGTATCCGCGGGGATCGAGTGACTGCCTACATAGCCTGGAATACTCCACAGCCGCCCTCCCTACCCCGCCCTGAAGGCTATACTGTCCGAAGGGGCCGACCGAGGTCAAGGGACCTGTCGCCCCGCGGGAATCGCGGCCGTGGGATGGGCCCAGGTGTTCAGGCTCGCTCCACCCATTCATCGGTGGGAGCGAAAGTTCAGGAATCGTGCTCCTTCAGCAGCCCCCCGCCCCCCACAGCCCTCCCGCTGGGCTCACCCATTGCAGTTACAGCCCGGCAGAAGCGGGGGTGAAAGAGCTTCCCGCCGATCCCCTGCGCTTGAACCAGAGTGAAGCTGCCGCCGCGCCGCGCGGGGCTCTGTCTGGCAGGGCACAGCCCCTCCTCGGGTCCCGCCCTGGGGTTCCTCGGCCACGCCCCAGTCATCCAGTCTCGTCTCGGGCCTCAGAGTCCAGCCCTGCCCTTGACGTTCGACCCCTCCTCCCAGGTTATCAGGCGGATCTGTGGCCCCGCCCCTCAGCCCCACCTTCCTCCCACCGCTCTGTGCTCTGCCCCTGGCATTTCAGGCTTGCTCAGTCCTGCGCCCCGCGGCTCCGACTCCCGCCGGCGGGCCCGCCCCTCCTGGGCCACTGCTAACCCGCAAGCGGGCGGGGCTCGGCCCCAGGCCTGCTGGGACATGTAGTTCTGCAGAAAGGAGCAGCTGCGGAAGGTTGGGGTTCTTGCACCTCTAGGCTAGGTTTGGAATGAGGATGAGAGGGAGAGAGCTGCAGGGTAAAGGAGCAGAGCTGGCCATTGGAATTCCTTCCTTCCCGGTTTGGACAGGTGGAGGCCATATCGGTATAACGCTCTCACAAGCCCTCAGCTTTCCATACGGAAAAGTGGTGGCGGAATTCCGCGAGTATCTCAGCTCCCAATGCAGGTGCTTCCAATCGAGGGCCCCACGGAGGGAGCTGTAGTTCCAACCCGCCGCGAGTCCAAGCTGTCGGTTCCCACCGGACCAAACCAGCGGTGTCCGAGGTCAGGGACTGAGAAGACCGGTTTCTGCTCGGTGTTTTGCAACGTCACCCGCCTCCCAGACCGCTACCCCCAGACTAGTTATTTATAGGGTCCAGCCCCTCCTCCTAAGTTACAGCCTTTAGTTAGAAATGCCCAAGCTGCGGGAAAGTGGGTGTGCCCCGCCATGCCCCTCTCCCCGGGGGCTGGGCAAGACTCTGAGGTTTCATTTCTTTTTTATTTTATTTTATTTTTATATTTATTTATTTTTGAGTTTCGTTCTTGTTGCCCAGGCTGGAGTACAATGGCACGATCTCAGCTCACTGCAAACTCCGCCTCCCGGGTTCAAGCAATTCTCCTGCCTCAGCCTCCCAAGTAGCTGGGATTACAGGCACGCACCACCGCGCCTGGCTAATTTTGTATTTTTAGTAGAGACAGAGTTTCACCATGTTGGTCAGGCTGGTCTCAAACTCCTGACCTCAGGTGATCTACCTGCCTCGGCCTCCCAAAGTGCTGGGATTACAAGTGTGGGCCACCGCGTCCGGTCTTTATTTTTTTGAGAGAGGGTCTCGCTCTGTCGCCCAGGCTGGAGTGCAGTGGCGTTAACATAGCTCACTGCAGCCTCAATGTCCTTGGTTCAAGCTATCCCCTCCCGCCTCAGGCTCCTGAGTAACTTGGACCACATGTGTGTGCCACCATACCCTGCTAATTTTTAAATTTTTTTGTAGAGAAGGGGTCTCTTTATGTTGCCCCAGCTGGTATCGAATTCCTGGGCTCAAGTGATCCTCCTGCCTCTGCCTCCCAAAGTGGTGAGATTACAGGTGTGAGCCTCTGCACCCAGCTGGTTTCATATCTATTTGATGCAGAAATAAAAATACTGAAGATCACAGAGATTTTAGAATGGCCCCTTCTCGCTCCCTGAGGGGCAGAGAAACAGGGCTTTGTTTTGCAACTTGAAATTTCTTTGTCATGAGACCCTCCAAAATTATGTTTTGACCAGTTGGACTTGGAATGGGGGACACACCTTGTGCAGCAAGGGTGTCTGAGCACAGAGAGGCTTTTGGGAGGCTGTGATGGGGACTCCTGGAAGCAGAGATCAAGAGCTTTGGGTGTAGGGATAGGTCTTTGACTGTGGAAGGAAGGATTCTGGGTCCTCTGATGAGTGGGAGGGCATCTAAGTTTGGGAGCATACTGAAGAAATGTTAGCTGGAGGGTCTTCGTGGGGTGGAAAGTAGATGGCTCCTGCCTGCATTGCAGGGTGGACCCATCCGTTTGGGCTCTGGGATTCAGGGGAGGAGGATAGCAGCTGGATATAAGGCTACTGTTCTGTGTCAGGAGGGCACTCAGGGATGTACTGAGATGATGGGGTTGGAAGGGCCCAGGGAAGGGTGACTTTGAGAAAAATTGCATCTCAGTTGAAGGGGTTTGATAGAGGCCTGAGTGACTGGCCCTTCACTTCCAGATCCTGCTGGGTAAGGACACAGGAGGCAGGCTTTGGGGTTGAAGAGTTTATTTATTGCTCTGCCCCCTTGGCACAGCAAGCCCAGGCTCTACCAGCAACGATAGTCGGGATAGGTCTCAGACACAAACTCAGGATGGATAACATAGTTGTTTCTCTGGGGACCACCAGACTTCTTGAAGTGACTTGTGTCCCATCTACAGGAAGAGATGGGTCAGCCGTTTTGGATCCTCATATGTCAAAGTGAATATCTGACTCCAGTTTGCAATGCTAACCTTATCCCTACACTTTGTCTATAGCACTGACCTTGGGTTCCAATACTGACCTCCTGACCTTAGGTTCTACTGTTAAGTTGCTGATACCCAATATTTCCTCCTTAACATCGACTTCTTACTCATTACTTCAAGCTCTGAACCAACGCCTTTGGCTGTAAGCCCACTGCCAACCTGTAACCCTTCAATACCGGCCTCCTAGCCCTCTCTTAAGGTCCTCTGTCCTTACCACCTTTGACTGCTCCATGCCACTAGCTCCCCCTCGTGGTATGTGCCTGTCAGTGCACCGCGGAGCGTTCTCATCCCGTCTACCAGACATCCTCCCCCAGCCCCGCCTCACCAAGCCTTCAGGGTGCGTGTGCAAATGAGTGTGTGCGCGTTAGACTTACCTAAGGTTCGGATATGGGTAGTATGACGGCGGGGGAGTTGTAACAGCACACTGCATTCCGGGCCGGTGCTCGTAGGGAGGTACACATCTGGAGAAGGAGGAAGCCGCGAGCATGGAGGGGTTGGGCCTTTTGACTCTCATCCCCCGATTTAGACCAAGCCCCTGGGCGGCGCTTCAGGTGTCCGTCCCAAGGCTCGGAAATCCTCCTCTCCTTCTTCCTCACCCTTCAAAACCCCCACTGCAGCACCGATTCGGGAACCCCCCTTGGAAGACTCCCTCCCGGCAAGGCCTCATTTCTGCCGTTGAGGAAAGAGCGCTGGACCCTGGGGAAGGTCGGGCTCCGGGCGTTGAGGACCTGGAACCACCGGATCCCCGCCACTGGACAGCAATTTCTCCAGCAGTAGGACGAGGCATCATTTCTGAGCTTCCTAGAGGCTCAGACACTTTCCCACTCCCCTATGCCCTTGAGAGGGATAAGACTCAGTCTTGCACAATGAATCAGGCTCTCTCGGCCTGGAGAGGGGCGGGGGATCACTATGGACCCCCACTGCACAGCTCTCTGGGCTACCGCGGACAAAGTTCTCCCAGGCTTGGCTGCCGCCGCGTGCAGGACGAATGCCGAGCTGCAGTCTGGGCTCCAGCTGTGCGCTCGGGCCTCAGTTTTCTTAGCAGTAACACGCGAGGGTGCCTACCTCCGCAGGTGGTGCGGGATCCGAGGAGGCCAGAGCCATTCTGGTAAAGTGGTCACCATTTCCCGGCTCACGTAGCCCCCAGGAATGACCGCACCCACTACCGACGGTGACGGGGGACCAGCAAGAGAGGACATTTTTCTGAGAACGCAGGGCACTCCACAGGCTAGAACCTGCGTCTCTAGGGCCAGGAGTCCAGGAAAGGGGGCAGGGCCAAGGAGATGGGGGAAGAGGATGCGACTGATGTGCGGGGTTTCTTCCTCAAAAACCCTCTGACGGGACCTCCAGAGCATATAGAGAGGCCAGGTTGACCTTGAGCCCAGTTTGAGAGGGACAGGGGTCGGGGACTTGGAGTAACCTTCGTGCTGGTTCTCCCGCCTCAGTTGTTAGTTCAGGCCTTGGAGCCCGAGGGCGGGACACGGCAGGGCCTCGAGAGCGTGCAGCGCGGGGCTAGAGCAGGCTGGGGGCCTGCACGGAAGCTGGCCGGGCTGGAAGGGGGCGGGGTTCTGGGGCGGGGCTTGTGTGGGGTGGAGCCCGGCTGAGGCGGGCGGAGCCCTGCGAACCTTACAGTCGGTTGCTCCCGGCACCAAGGCCGCAGGCGGCGGTCGGTGCAGGGCGCCCCGCTGGCGTAGTAGTCCATCCCGCGCAGACAGTAGTGGCGGCCCGAGCAAGCACTTTCGTAACCATGGAAGGGCAGGCGGCCGGGCAGCGGGTCCACGCACCCGCATCGGGGCGTGATCCGCGGCAGCTGCTGGTTCCGCGACAGTGAGTTCAGCATGTTCACCATCACTTCGCGCTCTGCTCCCGCGGGTCCCCAGCGCAGGAGACCCAAAGACAGATGCACAGGGATGGGAAGAGGCCGAGTCACGGACAGAGTGAGGCGGAGACAAAAGCCAGGACGGATAGATTCAGGGTTCCACCCTCTCCAGGACCCTCGGCCTCCTCCCCGTCCTTCAGGTACCCATCCCGCCCTCCTCCCGGCCTTCCCCAACCCTCTCCACCCGTTCTTTCCAACGCCCCACTACCACTCTTTACCGTAGGCATTGAGCCGCTCCGGCCTAGGAGGGCATTCCAAGGGCATTCCTCGAACTGCTGTCTCCATCCTGGCCTCCTGGAAGCGGCACACATGCTACCTCAAGCTCTGACCTGGCAGAGCTGCTCCCTTTTAGGGGTCCTCCCAGAACACCCAGACCTATCGCCACGCCGCAACTTCTCCCGCCCTTCAGCAGCTCCCCACCTCTCCAGGGCTCTGTGTTGGCGGCTGTCACCGGGCAACGCTTTTACATCGCCAACAGGGGCGGGGTGGGGTAGGAAGGGCTGAAGGTGGATGGGGTTTGGCTCCTGGGCCTGTGACAACCCTGTCTCAGCGTTTGCCTTTGATTTTACCCCTCTTTGTCTAGCTGACTCTGTTTAGCTGTGTCTGGGTGTCTCTCTAATAGGGGGTTTTCAATATTGCTTGTCATTCCGGAGAACTTGTGAAAGATTCGATTCTTGAGGAAGTTCTAATTCAAAAGGGTTCCATCAACCCAGGGTCAGCCATCAGCCTGCAGTTAAGAGCCCCGGCTCTGGTTTTGGGTCCTCTCAGGTGCCCTTGAGTTTGCGGCCGTGGCTGGACCTTCTCCTATGTCCTTGGAAGACTCTCCTGTATCTGCACTGCTATTGAGTAGCCTTAGTCTTTCTCCTTCCGTCTGTGCTCACATCACAAAGGAGGAGAAGGTGGAGCAGGGAGATTCATTGTATCACTGACTCCTTGGCTAGCCCCAGTATCACAGAGGCCAGACTATATGGGGAGGGGCCAGCTGGCAAGCTTCGGAAAGGTAGTATATCAAGGAGTGCACACCAGTCATGTCCCTACAGAGCCCAGCCAGGGATTGGAGCCCAGGGCACCCAATCCCCAGAGATTGAGAGCCAGGGGCCCAGCACAGCCCTACTTTTGGGTTCCTTTTTCAACTAAAAAAATTCAAACCCGGCCAGGTGCAGTGGCTCATGCCGGTAATCCCAGCATTTTAGGAGGCCGAGGCAGGTGGATCACTTGAGGCCAGGAGTCCAAGACCAGCCTGGCCAACATGGCAAGATCCCCGTCTCTACTAACAATACAAAAATTAGCCAGATGTGATGGCGCATGCCTGTAATCCCAGCTGCTCGGGAGTGTGAGGTAGCAGAATTGCTTGAACCCAGGAGGCAGAGGTTGCAGTGAGCCAAGGTTGCGCCACTGCGCTCCAGCCTGGGTGATAGAGTGAGACTCTATCTAAAAAAAAAAAAAAATACAAACTCTAGTTTCACAGATGCGGAAGAGCTCTGGGGCATTTGTTGGGAAAGCAATGAGGACCTAATGGTGAAATATCAGTCACTGTAGTTTGGGAGGTGGTGGGGTATGCGTGTCCCAGTCCCCAGACGTCTGTGCTGGGTGCAACAGATACCTTAGGCAGCCGAGGAAGGTAGGTGGTATACTTGTTGCAGCAGCTGCTGTTGTAAGGTTCCATCCTCCATGTGTTGTACCAGTCACTGCCCAGGTAGTTTGGGCTGCATTTGTCTGCTGGATAATAGGGGTGGAGATGTCAAATAGTGTTACTTCTTACTCTACTCCAGGATCTGAGATCCCCTACATGTTTCTCTTCCGATTCCCAGCACAAAGCTGACCCTCACAGACTGTCCTCAAGCCAGAGACCCCAAGCCCAGCCGGGCCTACACTTGTCTTAAACACTGAGATGCAGCCCATGTCCCATCTAAGGCAACCTTCTGAGTTTAGTCTGGATCCACTGTGCCAGCCACTTTTCATCCTGCCACTACCCTTTTTGAATCAGCCAGCCTGGACAAGGAGCCTCTTCCCAATTCCTCCCTCTCTCTCATCTTCTACTCTAGGCTCTAAGGTTTGCCTATTCTGCCTCCTTCAAAATCACTCGAATCTGGCCAGGCAAGGTGGCTCATGCCTGTAATCCTAGCACTTTGGGAGGCCAGGGCAGGCAGATCACTTGAGGTCAGGAGTTCGAGACCAGCCTGGCCAACATGGCAAAATCCTGTCTCTACTAAAATACAAAAATTAGTTGGGCATGGTTGGTGTGCGCCTGTAAACCCAGCTACTCAGGGGGCTGAGGCATGAGAATAGCTCAAACCAGGGAGGCAGATGTTTCAGTGAGCCAAGGTCATGCCACTGCACTCCAGCCTGGGTGACAGATCAAGACTCAGTCTCAATAAATAGATAAATAACTTGAATCTACTTCCTCTTCCAGTGCCCCATGATCTCACTTCCATATCTTTGCAGCACCTTAACCAGAAGACAATATAATGTCTTGGTTAATAGATACCTATCTCTGCAGATAGACTGCTTGTGTTTAAATTTCAGTTTTACAATTATTATCTGTGTGACCCTGACTGAATTAATTAATTTTGATGTGTCTCAGTTTCTCCAACTTTAAAATGGGGATAATAGTACCATTTACTTCACAGGGTTGCTGTGAGGTTTAAGTGAGTTAGTATATGTAAGACATTTAGAATGATGCTTGGCACATAAAAAACTATTATGATTATTCTACTGTTATCCTTGCCTCACCTTTGAAATCCTATAATCCAGCCTTGACATAGCACCTGTGGTACTTTTCACAAATGAAAATTTGACCAAGACACCCTCCTACTTAAAACCCTATAGGGTTTGTCTGCCTTAGCCCCCAGTCACCTAAGCCTGTCCTACAAGGCCCTCCATGATCCAACAGTCTGAAAGAATACATATGCGACACGGTGTGGAGGAAGCCCTAGCGAAGAGCAGCTGTCTGAGGGGAGGGGTGCAGTGCTGGGATTTGGAGTTCGGGGATGGCAGTTTGCACATACTGAAACTGAGGTGTTTGGGGACATCCAGATCAAGATGACTATAAGCATATGAAGAAGAGTGGAATTCTGATGAGAGGACAAATCTGGAAATTAGGATTTGAAGCTGTCAGTAATTAAAGGCTTGTGTTAAATCAAATGGCCTTGGAGGAGGAGCAAGGGGAGAAGAGGGTGCAGGATAACACCCTGAGGAACCCCATGTTTCCACAGTGGATGCACAGGAAAGGGAGGCATCAGAGAAGCTGAGGAGGAAGTTGTTTCAAGAAGTAGAGTGTGGTCATAGCCTGTGTGCTGGAGGATTAACATACAAAACAACATCAACAACAAAACGAGTAGAGAGTGGTCAGAAGAGTGCAATTCATTGGTCTAGGAGGGTAAAGGTCTCAGAGGGTAAAGACTGCAGAGTCCTGTGGATTTGGTAATCAGAGCCATGCAAGAGCAATTTATTGTTTCATCATAGGAGATGCACATTCCCAACTTCCATTGGGAATTCTCAGTCCATTCAACAAAGACTTATGAAGCCTGGTGCTGTGCTCGATGGAGGGGCACAGCTGTGAATAAGACCAGACTCGGCTCTTTTCGAATGTACAGCCAGACAGATTATATTATATCCAAGCAAATGAGAAAGACAGTTTCTCATAAGGTATAAGAAAGGGTGAGGAAATAGAGACAGTGAGTATGGACCATGTTTCCGAGAACCTAGGCTGTTGAGAACAGGAGCAAGAGATAATTTTTAGTTGGGAAGAAACTAGAGAAGGTTCCAGGTTGAGGGAAAGAGGTGTGGTGGGGCAGAGGGATGCAGGAGAGGTGGAGGGAGCTGATGGGAGCAGGATGGCTGGGAAGATGGGAGGAGATGGTATCTGGAATGCACTTGGAGGGATCTGTCTGTGGGAGGTTAATCCTTTCTCCAACTCGCTAAGGATGGGACCCAGGGCCCTTCCAGGTTTTTTTTTCCACCGACAAGAACCCCAAAAAGCAGGGCCTAGGTCATCTCCTCCAGGGCCAGGGTCAGGTCAGGTGGTTGGTGGAGGGGGTGGTTAGGGAAGAAATCTAGGTCATGGGTGGAGATAAAGTTGACATAGAATCAGGATGGAGGCTGGGCATGGTGGCTCAGGCCTGTAATCCCAGCATTTTGGGAGGCCGAGGCGGGCAGATCACCTGAGGTCAGAAGTTCGAGACCAGCCTGGCCAACATGGTGAAACCCCATCTCTACTGAAAATACAAAAATTAGCCGGGCCTGGTGGCACATGCCTGTAGTCCCAGCTACTCAGGAGGCTAAGGTAGGAAAATCACTTGAACCTGGGAGGTGGAAGTGGGTTGCAGTGAGCCGAGATCATGCCATTGCACCCAGACTGGGCAACAAGAGCGAAACTCCGTCTCAAAAAAAAAAAAAAAAAAAAAAAAAGGATAGAGGTCACGATCCAGGTGGTTGGGTTCAGGTTGGGGGTCATTTTAGGGGTCAGCAAAGGGTGAGGCCTTACCTTCCTCTTGAGAAAGCCAGTACTTCTCAGGCAAGTAGGGGTGGCCTGATATGGACCCCCTATAAGTGTAGTCCTGTACAGCACATTTGGCCATCTTCTGCAGGGCTTCGGGATCCACATGTCGCTCCATGGTATGAGTCAGACCCTGGGCAAGGGGAGAGGAGAGAAGTGGTTAGGGGCACAGAGACCCCAGCCCTGGGGTCTTGCTGGAACTAGATCCAGCCTCTCTTGAGAAGGTCAGCCCAGGTGGGTCTCCCAACCCCCCTCCCCATGTCAGAGGGATTCCCATGCTAGCCTTGGCTCCTCTGCACAGTGCTCTTGTCTGAATTACCCTTTCCTCCTTTCTTTTCATCCAAGGCTAGGGCTTGGGGCCGAGCGGTGGCCTTACGTCAGAGTAGTTTTCTGACTTTCTCATTTCTGCCATTTCCTGGTGGGGAGCTCATGAAGGTCAGAGCTACATATACCTGTCCTTTTTCTCCTAGACTGTATGCTGCCTGGGAGCAGGGCTGGGTCTCTGCCAACAGTGCATCAGGCCCCAGTCTCAGAAAAGAGGGCTACCCTGGGAGCTGGCTGCCTTATGTAGGTGTCTTGGACAGGAAAGGCTCTCTGGGAATCTAGCATCTTAAAGAAAATGAAGGACAGTGCTGGAGGGGCACCTACTTTAAAATGTAATTCCCGGCTGGGCGTGGTGACTCACACCTGTAATCCTAGCCCTTTGGGAGGCCGAGGCAGGCGGATCACGAGATCAAGAGATGGAGACTATCCTGGCTAACATGGTGAAATCCCGTCTCTACTAAAAATACAAAAATTAGCTGGGCATGGTGGCGAGCTCCTATAGTCCCAGCTACTCGGGAGGCTGAGGCAGGAGAATCAACCCAGGAGGGAGAGGTTGCAGTGAGCTGAGATCGTGCCACTGCACTCCAGTCTGGCGACAGAGCAAGACTTCGTCTCAAAAAAAAAAAAAAAAAAAGTAATTTCCTGACTGCAACCTGGCCCTGATTCTGCTGTGGCTCTGGCCCTGACACCAGTGTTGCCTTTGACCCTGACCTTCAATTTGGCCTGGTCCTCACCCTACCTTGACACTTTTCCTGTTCTTGGTCCAGGCCCTGGGCCCCTGTGCTTTTTGGGGTTCACCTCAACTTACCCTGTCACTTCTTGTCTGACTAGATCTGTGACGCCTGGATCAGGGCCTCCCTTCGGGGCCCCTTTTTCCTCAGCTGAGGGCTGAATGACAAGTTAGTTGTAGACCCACAGGTATCTGCAGGCAGCTGGTCTGAAAAGGCAGCTGGGTCACAGGGGTGGGACACCCAGCAAAGTCAGATAGGGCTTCTTCCTCATAACGGGCAGTGAGGTGCTGGGACAGTGATGCTATCACCCACACTTGATCCTTATGATTTTTTTTTTTTTTTTTTTGAGACAAAGTCTCACTCTGCCACCCAGGCTGAAGTGCAGTGATACCATCATGGCTGAAGCCCTAACCTCCCAGGCTCAAGTGATCCTCCCGCCTCAGCCTCCCAGGCATGTGCACCACACCTGGTATTTTTCATAGAGATGGAGTTTCACCATGTTGCCCAGGCTGGTCTTGAACTCCTGGACTCAAGGGATCTTCCCACCTTGACTTCCCAAAGTGCTGGGATTACAGGCATGAGCCACCACACCTGGCCCTTCTCTTGGCCAAGGCTGAGACCTGGTTGCTCCAAGTGCTCCAACCATCCTCAAAACCTCTCTGCTCAGGGGCTTCTGGGATCAACTGTGCCCAGCTGACATTGTTCTGTGAGCAGCTCCTGCACAGTCACACTTCTACGTGGGTGGCGGGCAGAATATGGGAGATGTGGGTGCATGGGTCCCGTGACTCAGCATTTCTCCGAGCTTTACACACACACACACACCCCTGTGTACCCAGATACACCCATAGATGCACATATAGGTGTATATTCATACATACACACTCAGATACACCCACTTACACACTAAACACAGATACACACACACACAAACAAAACAGTCATTTAGAAGAATTCATAGACATCGTCAATTTTTCTGTTAGATGCTTTCCTCAGATGTTTCCTCTTTGTCTGCTCCTGTTGATAAGTAGGAGATTATAAAAGCTTATTGAAGGCTTTGAGCTGTGTGTAGGCTTTGTCCACCATCAGCATCACTGTAGGATGATCTCGTTGGACAATATTTTGCAAACTCTAATGTCAATATCTGTAGGTCTTTCCTCTTGGCTGATGAGATTCTTCAGAAAAGACTCCTTCAACCTTTGGCCTGAGGGTAATGACTTAGCTGCCAGTGTTCTGAGAATCTAGTGCTGAAGATTGCGCTGGGGATTTTAGCATTCAGTATATGGGGGTTCACTTGTTTTCAAAATGGTACCCTGTCCTCAATTGGTATCCCCAGTCCTGAGGTCCTTGCCAAAAATTAGTCTCCTGACTTTAGCAGAGACAGAGGTGGGCAGTTACCCTGTGGCATGAAATAGAAGGGGTGATTAGTGAGTTTAACTGCTTTTTTTTTTTTTTTTTAGATGGAGTTTCGCTCTTCTCACCCAGGCTGGAGTGCAATGGCACAATCTTGGCTCACTGCAACCTCTGCCTCCCGGGTTCAAGTGATTCTCCTGCCTCAGCCTCCCAAGTAGCTGGGATTACAGGCGCCTGCCACCACTCCCAGCTAATTTTTTTTTTTTTTTTGTATTTTTAGTGGAGACGGGGTTTCACCATGTTGGCCAGGCTGGTCTCAAACTCCTGACATCAGGTGGTCCACCCACCTCAGCCTTCCAAAGTACTGGGATTACAGGCGTGAGCCACCTCACCTGGCCTAACTGCTTCTTAACAGCTTTCAAATAATCCTTATTTTTGCCTTGGCCCTGTCCCATCCTCAGTTCCAGAGAAGACTAGGATTACCAGTTCCTGAGCCTTTTGAAAATTCTACAGTTTTAAGTTGAATTATGGCTTGGCTTTTCCATTGCTTGCTTTAGATTCAGCTTTCTCCGATCTGCTAAGTCAGTTACTACTTATTTATCATCTTTTCCAGCTTCCAAAATTGTGTCGCCATTGCCTCTTCCTTCTCACTCTCCTTGTGAGTTTATCTCTTAAATATTCATTTACTGTAGTTTTAGAGGGGTTTTAGGAGGGAGTCAAAACATGTGTTCAATTTTAACCAAGAGAATTATAATTCTTTATATATTCTGTATATTAGTCCTTTACTATTGGCACCTATACATGTTGCAAATGTATATAAAAGATATTTATCTTTTCTGTTTGTGGCTTCTGTCTTTACATTTCTTTCCTCTCTCTTTCTTTTTTTTTTTTTTTTTTTGAGACAGGGTCTCACTGTTGCCCAGGCTGGAGTGCAGTGGCACAATCACAGTTCACTGCAGTCTCTACCTCCTGGGCTAAAGCTATCCTCTTGCCTTAGCCTACCGAATAGCTGGGACTACAGGTGCACACCACCACACCCAGCTGATTTTTTTTTAAATTTGTTTATAGAGACGATGTTTCCCTGTGTTTCCCAGGGTGGTCTTGAACTCCTGAGCTCAAGTGATCCTCCTGCCTTAGACTCCCAAAGTACAGGTGTGAACCATTGCACCTGGCTTTTACTTTTCTTTATAGTGTCTTGATGAACCTCTTCTTGTGTGGTCAGTGCTTTCTGTGAATTATTTAAGAAATTAAACCATACTCTCAGATAATGGAGACAATGTTCTGTATCTCCTTGTAAACACAAAAGTTTTACTTTCCATATTTAATCTGTCAGGAGTTTGGATAACTCATCTTCTTTAAGTGTGTTACAGCTATTTCTTGAACTTTTGCCCTTCTCTATAAATTTTAAAAAGTTTATTGAAGTCTTCAAAAAATCCTTTTGGGATTTTAATTAGTAACTGGGACTACAGGCACACACTACCATGCCCTGCCAATTTTTGTATTTTTTGTAGAGATGAGGTTTCACCATATTGCCCAGGCTGGTCTTGAGCTCCTGAGTTCAAGCAATCTGCCTGCCTCAGCCTCCTAAAGTGCTGAGAACCACGCCCGGTGGCACTGAATCTTTATGATAGTAACTATTCCCATTCGTGAGCATGTTATATCTCTCCATTTATTTAAGTATTTTTAAAAAAGTATTCAATAAAGTTTTATAATATTATCCATATAGTTTTACATACATTGTTAGATTTCTAATTATCTTTATTTTTTGATGCTAGAATGATGTATATTTTAAAAATTATGCTTCCTAAATATTTGTGTTAAGAAATGTGATTGACTTTTAATATTTATCCAATTATTCTAATAATGTGTGTAGATTTTTTTTTTTTTTTTTAAGACTAGTCCAACACACTAGTGAGGAGAGAAAGAGTGGAACAAGGAGTTTGATCTGTAACTGACTGTGAACAATCAATTGAGATAACTCACTACCTTGGACCAGCCAATTTGTAGATTCTATATATGCAGTTGTATTATCTGCAAATAATGACAGTTTTGTTTTTTTCCTTTCCATTTCTTAAATCTTTTTACTTTTTTTTTTGTGGTGTCCTTGCCAGGACCTCCAGTGCAATGCTGAATAGAAGTAGTGAACATCCTTGCCTTGATTCCAATTTTTAAAAGAATGCTTCTAACAGTTAATCAGAATAATGTTGGCTGTATATTTTTTGTATATATTTTTTATCAGGTTATATTTGCTAAGTTTTTCTTTTTTAGTTATAAATGGTTAATAAATTTTAGTAACTGCTATTTCTGCATCTTTTTAAAATGGCTTCATTGAGGTATAATTTACATACCATAAATTTCACTCAAACTGTACAGTTCAAGAATTTTTACTAAGATCTCATGTCCATTTCTGCATATTTTGAAATGATCTTCTGTTTTTTTTCTTGAATCTGTTAATGTGATGAATGATATTTATTTTTCTAATGTTAAACTATCCTTGCATTTATGAAATAAATACAATGTAACCATCACAAATTATTTTTTATACACTACCGGATACGGTTTTCTAATATTTTATTTAGAATTTTTGCTTTTGTATTTATGAATGAATTGGACTGTATACTTTTATTTTCTTATACACTTTTGATTAATTTTTTTTTGTGGGCTCAAGCATTCCTCCTGCTTCAGCCTCCGCAGCAGCTGGGACCATAGGTGTGTGCCACCACACCTGGCTAATTTTTAAATTTTTTTGTAGAGACGGGGGTCTCACTATGTTGCCCAGGCTGGTCTTGAACTCCTGGGCTCAAGCAATCCTCCTGCCTCAGACTCCCAAAGTGCTAGGATTACAGGTGTGAGCCACTGCACCTGGCCTTCTTGATTAATTTTGTATCAAAGTTATGCTGGGTTCATAGAATGAGTTAGGAAGCATCCTCTTTTTTTCTGTTCCCTGACAGAGTTTGTATAAGATTAAAACAACTGTTCTTCGAGCATTTGAGGAATGTAACTGTTTATCTATGCTGGGTGTTTTCTTTGTGGAAAGTTTTCAAATTACTGGTTTAATTTTTTAAATCGTTATAGGAGCATTCAGATTTTTTCCAATTCTTGAATTGGTTTGGCAAGTTTTATTTTTCTTGTGTTTGTCCATTTGTTTTCAATTTTATTAGCATAAAGTTGTTCAGAACGTTCTCTTACTTTTAATTTCTTCTACATCTATTGTTAGACCCTTCTTTTATTTGTCTGTGCCTTGTTTTTCTTAATTCTCTAGAGATTTGTCTATTTTATGAGCCTCATCAAAGAAACAACTTTTGCCTGTTCATCTTGTTGAATCTTTGCTTTCTAGTTTAACTTTTGCTCTTATTTTCATTATCTCCATTCTTCTATTTTTCACATTTATTCTTTTCCCCATAAGTTGTTAAGTCTGATGCTCAGGTCATTTATGTTTCACATTTTTTTAGACAAGGATTTAGGGATATAGGTTTTCCTCTACAGCTTTTATTGTACCCCACAAGTTTTGATATGCAGTCTTTTCAGTTCTGAGTATATTTCCATTTGTTTTGATTTCTTATTTGACCCATTATTTAGAATGGTGGTTTTCAAAATTTTAAACTCACAAAGGATTTTGGTTATCTTTTTGTTGTTGATCTGTAATTTTATTACATTGAGGTTAGAGACAGTTATTTTGTATGATGTCAATCTTAGAATTCTGTTTATGTTTGTTTTATGACTTAGTACTTGGTCCACTTTTATCATGTTCCTTGTATGTTTAAATCTGTAGTAGTTGGGTTCAGGGCTTTATTTATGTTAAATAAATCAAGTATACTAATTATATTGCGAGAGTTTTAGATCTTTGCTTTTTTTGGGGGTTGGGGATGTCTGCTTGACCAATCAGTAATTGTAGTGTTACAATCTAATATGGTATATTTTGCCAATTTCTCCATCTGGTAATTCTTTATTTTTATTTTTAAAACATTTTGTAGAGATGATATCTTGCTTTGTTGCTCAGGCTGGCATGGTTTGTTTGTTTGTTTGTTTTGTTTTTTGAGACAGGGTCTTACTTTGTCACCCAGGCTGGAGCACAGTGGTGTGATCGTGGCTCATTGCAGCCTCAAACTCCTGGGCTCAAGCCATCTTCCTGTCTCAGCTTCCTGACTGTAGGCACACACCATCACACCCAGCTAATTTTTAAATTTTTTTGTAGAGATGGGGTCTTGTTATGTTGTCCAGGCTGGTCCTAAACTCCTGGGCTCAAATGATCCTCCTACCTGGGCCTCCCAAAGTGCTAGAATTACAGGTCCTTCTATTAATTCTATCAGGCCAATACAAGTTTGTAATTATAATATCTTCCTGGTGAATTGAAACTTTGTCATTTATGTGGTGATCCATCTAAAAACCGTGTGTGTGTGTGTGTGTGTGTGTGTGTGTGTGTTTAATCTGAAAATCTCTTTTGTCTGTTACTTTTTAGCTTACTCAGTTTTTTGTTATTGTATCTGTATCAGTCAAATTTGGATCAGAGAAACCACTTTTAGTGATATAGCATAAGGGATTTACTTGAGAGATGAGACTTTACACAATTGTGGATACTGGTTAAGAACTCTGCAAAGCTGTTGTCTTTGCATCTATTTTTAAGCCTGAAGTCAGTGGCTGGCATCAGGAAGCAGAACTGGACATGAAGTGGGGAAGAGCAAGGACAAACTGGAACTCATGAGGAGAACAAAGTCGAATTTGCATCTGTCTCACTGCCTACAACAATGATGATATGGATGGCCTTCAGGACAAGCTGGTGCCCTTTGCCATGGAATTGTACATACACCTGGCCCAGGACCCAGAGAGGTTGAAGGAGATCCAGTGGGAGCTAGAGGGGTTGTAGCCAAATGCTGCTCTATGGCAATAAGGTGAACTACTAAATCAGCAACATTGTGCATAAGGTGCCACAGTGCTTGGTACCCCACGTCAATCTTCAGAGGGTAAAAATGGCTGTTCTTTCATTTATTCTTTCCAAATATCATGCAGATTTCTCTCATGGCCAATTAGGAAACATTTAGGAAAGGGAATTCTTGCAAGTATAGTTCCAGCTAGTTGACAGTACAAAACTATGTCTTATGCTCTCTTTAGAACAATGGGAGAATCTAGGAACACCTAACTCTGTCCTGTTCCAACTTAAATGATAGTTTTGTAATATTTTAGTTCTTCCTTTAAATATTACAGATTAAAAGCCATTATAATTATTTTCTATAGATAACGTTTGCTTAAATTTACCTCATGTTTATCAGTTCCTTACCATTCCTTCTTGCATCTCAGACTTTCCTTCTGTGATCATTTTCCTTCTCCCCAGAGTATATCCTTTAGAAGTTCCTTTATTGTATATAGACCTGAGGGTAATAAACATTTTCATTGTTTTCCTGTAAATGTCTTATCTTTCCTTGGTTTTTGAAAGGATGACACTTCGAGAATTTTTTTTCTTTGTCTGTTTTTAAGGTCATCTCTTAAGCTGGTGAACTGCAGTTTCATTGTGAGGTGCCTAACTGTGGAATTTCTTCTATTTTTTTTCTCTATTTGTGGATTCATTTATTTTGTTAGTTCTGGAAAATTCTGAGCCTTTTTCTTTTTAAATAATAACTGTTCTTTATGCTCTTTCCTTCTGAGATTCCCATTAGATGTTTGTGGGATCTTCTCATTCTGTCTTTCATATCATTTAATGTTTCTTTCATATTTTCATCTCTTTGTCTCTCTGTGCTGCGTTCTGGGAAAATTTTTTCAGTCTATTTTTCATTTCACTGGACTTTTCAGCTGTGTTGACTCTACTCTTTAATCCATCTGCTGAATTTTTGGTTTAGCAAATACATTTTTCATTTCTAAAAATTCTATTCAGTTCCTTTTTACATTTGCCTACTCATTTTTTAATAATCTCTTATTGCTTGCTTATTTTAATGATTTCGTATTTTTATTTTTTAAATAGAGACAAGGTCTCACTATGTTGCCTAGGCTAGTCTTGAACTCTTGGCCTCAAGTGATCTTCCTGTCTCAGCCTTCCAAAGTACTGGGATTACTACAGGCATGAGCCACTATGCCTGGCCAGATTTCACATTTTTAAAAAATCATAATTATTCTATATTATTATTTTTTGAGATGGAGTCTTGCTCTGTCACCCAGGCTGGAGTGCGGTGGCATGATCTTGGCTCATTGCAAGCTCTGCCTCCTGGGTTCACACCATTCTCCTGCCTCAGCCTCCTGAGTAGCTGGGACTACAGGCATCCACCACCATGCCCGGCTAATTTTTTATATTTTTAGTAGAGATGGGGTTTCACCGTGTTAGCCAGGATGGTCTCGATCTCCTGACCTCATGATCCACCCACCTCGGCCTCCCAAAGTGCTGGGATTACAGCTGTGAGCCACTGCACCCGGCCCAATTATTCTATATTATTTAACTGTTAATTCTAATATCTGAAATTCTTGGGAGTTTAAGTTTATTGTTTGTTGTGTCTGCAGATTCTGTAATATGGTGGTTTGTTTTCTTTTATCTCTTATTGTGAGCTCATGTTTAATTGGCCGTTCTTCAAAGGATACCTGGAAACCTACACTGAGGATGTTTACCGCCATTGAAGATAAATATGTGTGTGTGGGGTGTGTGTTGGGGGGCAGAGACATGGAACTTTCTGGTTAAGTTTGGAATGTACAGATTTAATTCCTCTATCTTTCAGCTAGTTTAAGGCTTAAATGCCTGTTTATAGTGCTAATAATGGCATTTGTCCTCAGGACAATCCTGTCTTCTTAACTATACTTACCACTCATCTCCATGAGACTCCAACACAAAATAAAAATTAATTTTTATTCAGAACTTAAGTTGTTTTGAAGCAACAGGGCCCTTCAGAGTTTCTAGACCACCATACTGCCAAAAGCAGCAGCTTTTCCTTCATTCTTTTTTTTTTTTTTTAAGAGACAGGGCCTCGCTCTGTCATCCAGGCTGGAGTAAAGTGGTGTGATCAAGGCTCACTGCAGCCTCAACCTCCTGGGCTCAAGTGATTCTATCTCAGCCTCCCGAGTAGCTGGGACTATGGGCACATGCCACTGCACCTGGCTAATCTTTGTATTTTTGGTAGAGACAGGATTTCACCATGATGCCCAGGCTGGTCTTGAACTCGTAGGCTCAAGCAATCTTCCTGTCTGCTTCAACCTCCCAAAGTGCTTGGATTACTGGCCTGAGACACCATGCCTGGCTTTTCCTTCATTCTTAATACCACTGCTATCTGACTTTCACTCCTCGCCATTCATTGAAGCTGTCTGGCTAAGTTACCAAGAGTTACTACATCCGAGAGATTTCTCTGTCACTAACACTTGACACTGATCTTTGTCTAATAATGCTGTCTTTATTGGTTTATCTTTGATTTTCCTCCTAGTTCTCTGGCAATAATTCTCTGTCTTCTTTTATGGCTTTTTTTCCTTTACCTACCCTTAAATATTTATATTCTCCAAAGTTATGTCCTTGGCCATTTTCTCTCTCTTCTTTGGCAATTTCATCTCTTCCTATGACTTCACCCACCATTTATATGATGATGACTTCAAGATCTCTATCTATAACCCAGACCTCTTTCCTTTGCTTCAGATAAGTATATCTAACTACTTGCCAAACATCTTTTCCTGGATATCCTCAAATATTTTTGTTCTCAAATGAACTCCAAATCTCTAATCTGTTATTCCAAACCTCAGTTGATAGCATTAGCATTCCTCCAGCTGCCACAGCCAAAAACTCAAGGGTCACCCTAATCTCTCACCTTACCATCCATATGGTGACCAAAATCTGTTCATCTACTTTTTAAAATTCCCTTCTATTGAGTATGGAGTCAGGCACTCTCATATTTTGCTTGTGGAAATGTAAATTGTTACAACCCTTACTTATTATGGCAATTTGAGGTATATAGCAAAAGTTTTAAAAATGTGTATATCTTTTCTCCTAACAATTTCATGTCTAGTAATTTATCCTAAGGGAATAATTGGAAATGTGTACAAAGATACATGTATAAGAATGATTATACTAGCAAAATTTTATAAAGTACCTAAATTTTCAATAAGATTCCTTAAATACACCATTTTGTAATAAATTTTATTTATTTTTATAATAAACAATATTTGCTTCCTGAAAGGGCATACGATAATATATTAACAATGGTAATTTTAGGTAGTAGGATTTTAGACCTTTTTTCTTTGTGCTTCTCTGAGTTATCTGCATTTTCTACATTCAGCGTATATTTATTTTGGAGTTAGACAAAATAAATTATTTTAAAAATTCTCTCCTATTCAACGAATTCCTTTTTTCATTGTGACAATCTCCTTATCTCCCACCTACATCCTCCTTCCTCATCTGTTCACCCCTCGCTGGCCTTCCTGCCCTCAACCCCAGCCCCTGCAATTCCCTGACACTGTGGCCAGAGTGGCCTAACTCACAATTGAACCATGACTCTCCCTCCCAGGTTCAAAAACCTGGAGCCTTATGTCCACGCTCCACAACATAGCCAGAGAGGCCCTTCTTGGTCTGCAGACTCCTCTCTCACCCAAGGACTAAACTCTCCTGCTCTAACAGTTTCAGTTTCTGGTAGGTCCCTGCCCACAGGCTGCCTTTTCTCCTGACTGTCTTCTGCTGGAAGCCTCCTCCTCCTGGATCCCTCAGTAGGTCTGCCCTTCAGGTTGGGCAGCGCTCTCCCCTTTCTGGCTCTCCACCTCTGCTGGTGCATGTTCCACATCGGGCAACTCTACTTTGTTCACTTGTTTGCTGTGAGCTCCTCAAAGGCAAGGGCTGGCCCTTCCCTTTTGTATCCTGGGTTGCCTACAGATGAAGATACTCAGCAAAGTTGGATGGTACACACAGATAAATTCTCTTAGGCAGAGTCACAGTTAGACTCACAGATTTCCTCCCACCTGGCCACCAATCTTCAAGCACAGACACAAGTAAACTGTGATACATATAGATAAAGGCATGCATATAGGACAGTTTCCGGCCTATTCCACAGGCAGCCTCAGGGCCTTTGCACTTTGTGATCACTTGTCTGGAACTTTCAGCTCTTCTATTCTTTCAGGTCTTCATGTGGCTAGTTCTATCTCATCTTTCCAGTCTCAGTTTATTGTCACCTTGAGAGAGGGTTTTCCATGACCTAAGTAGCCCTCCCTTTCCATTTCCACTTCCACTACTCTGTTTATTTCCTTTACAGTATTTTTGAAGAATTTATAAAACTCATGTTTATTTCTTATTATCTGCCTGTTCCTACCTCCTACCCTAATGTAATTCCATGAAGGCAGGATTTTGTGCTGTTTTACATACCATTGTAAATTCTGTGCCTAGGTAAATGAATAAAACACACACATACACAAAGCTACAAATCATTACAAACATACATTGCCAGGCATCCAGACTGGCCATACACTCTGGCCTGCCCCTCCCCACCAATCTCCCACTTACCGGAGTCAGAAACTTGTTGGCTTCCCAGGCACACAGGGGTGGGTCCTTATAGACCTCCTTGATGGAGGTGGGAGCCCTGTAGGAGTCACTGTAGGTACTGATAGGGGTCCTGGTCTTACGGGAGAACAGGAACATGGTGTGGTCTTGGAGATGCCGTGGTGGGCTCTACCTGTCAAGGGCTCCTGCTGGACATCAGTGACCACCCTTCCCCTAGACAGGCCACACCTCCAGCCTGGCAGGTGCCCTTAGCTGCTATAATCCCCTCCTGCAGAGGATCTCTCAGCTTCCTTCCCCAACAGCCTTCCTGCTCCCACCCCACACTGATGCCCCCTCCAGGATGGGCACTGCCCATTGTGATATCACCTGGCTCAGCCCCATCCCTGGGAAGGTGAGGAGGTCTAATTCCCTCCCTGCTCCTGACCCCCTCCTGCCTCAAGCCTATCAAAAGAGCCCAATTTCTAAGAGTTCAGAGGGCCTCTGGAGATCTTCTAGGTCAGGTTTCTCACTGTTGAAGAGAAACAGAGGTTCGGAGGGGTTGTGACTCACCCAGGGTCATGCAGCAGGTCAGTGGCATGCCTGGGAACCCACAGGTGGAGGTGGAGTAACATGTGTGCCCAGAGGACCAGTTCTGTCTGCTTCCCAGCCCATCTGCCCCTTGCCCACACCCCAGGGAGGGAGCTGAGGCTGGCTTGTTTGATGCTTTTAATATCATTATTTGTGTTACACGATACACAACCAAGGATGATGGTCAATACTGCAATGAAAATGTTAAAAAAAATATTATACACGGCTCATGTCTTCCACACACCTTCCTGGAAATAAATTAGTGAGCACGGAGAAACCTGGCTGGGTGGCAGCCACAGCTGAGAGAGGAGGGAGTGTTAAGGCAGTATCTACAAGGGGAAGGGTGGCAGGAGGGCAAGCTAAGGCCTAGATTCTTCCCTCCAACCTCCCAGACAGGGAAGGAGGGAGCCACACCCCTCCCTAGACACAGAAGCTGCCACTGCCAGCTTCCTGCCTCTCTCTGCCACACATGCACTGCCTCAGTTGGAAGCCCTTGCCTGCCAGGGAACTAGTATGTCCTGTGGGGGGGGAGATTTTCCCTGGTGTCTCAGGGCCACAGAGATTGAACAATGGGCCCGAGTCACACTGCAAGTCAGCAGCAAAGGCAGCAGTCTAAATGAGCCCCCAAAAAGAGGAGGTACCCATGTTCTAGAAAGGTGAGCCAAGGAGCCCCGGGGTGGTGGTGGTGGTAGTGGGAGGGCTGGCTCTGGGGTCCAGATGATGGGGGCACAGGGGTTGGGGGGATGTTGATCTGGGTGGGAGAGGTGGGTTCAGATGGGGGCCAGTATGGGCCTTGTGGGTCCTGCAGGTACCTTCTCTGTCCTTGCCTCCCTTTGTTTGGCATTTTCTCATCATCTAACTTGGGTCCCTGCACTAGAGGAGGTAGGAATGGGTTGGCGGAGTGGGGGGTGGTGAGCTGTACCCCAATATTTTGGAGCTGGCAGTTCCTGGGTATGATGCAGGGAGAGGTACCACCCTTCCTAAGCCAACAGTCTCACTCCCTCCTCTCATTGCTCCCCATTCCAGCTCCCACCTCCCAGGATTGGTGTCCAGAGAGTGGGCTGTGGGTGAGTCTACTGCATGCCTGCAGCATGTGAGTGGATCCATGGGAGTGGATCCACCAGCACATGTGGGGTGTTAGCATGAGATGATCCACCTGGGCCTGTGCTATAAGGTATGTGGGCACAGGCCTGTGCAGTCTTAGGCTATCTGTGCTTTCATTTTTCTTCACACGGTGGCAGGTCTACACTGCCCAGCCCCAGGGGTGGGCCTTCCTCACCTCTTCCCTCTTGATTTTCAGTCTCAGCTTTCCAGTCCCCTCCCCCAAACCAGCAATAGCAGAAGCAGCTGTATACACATCTTGATCTACAGACACCCTATACAGCCACACACAATAGACAACCCTCCAACACACACACACATTCACAGACAAACACGTAATCCCAAACAGAGCCACATGTGCTCAGACATACACAGTCCTGATAGGAACTGCCCCTTCGCCTTTCTACAGAGACACACAACTCCGCCCCACCCCAACCTTTAGGTATACTGAGACACACAGAGATTGCCCCCTCCCCACCACAGAAATTTCTATGAAGAAACTCTTTCAGGTATAAAAGGATCTTCAACATAATTTCAGCTGCTGTTCATTTTCTAGTTGAGGAAACTGAAGACGAGAGAAAGCAAGTGGCTTGTTGAAGATCACAGGGAGGGGCCAGAGCTACAACCAGAACCCAGGCTTCTGACTCCCGGTCCAAGGCTGTCAGCCCATTGCACTGCTGAGCCGCCTTCTGCACTGTAAACAGACCACACAGGCACTTCCCTACCAGGGACACCCACATCTATGACAGGAATAGACTGAGGAGAGACAGGTCCAACAGAGACACACACCCACCCACCCCCTGACAGCCTCAGAGATACACACACATTCTGCTAAGCACTCCCTACCACATCCAAACAACCACATCCATAGAGCCACTCAGCCCACTGGATTCACCAAAGCTTGCTCCTGGATTCTTACTGGGAAGCAGCCTCCCACGTCTTGGGCTGGGGTGAGGGGAATGGGCCATTGGAGTCCAGCCTTACTCCCTGCTTCCAGGCTGGGATTGAGACCAATGAGCAGAAGCGTGGGTGAGGGTGGGGGCAGGGTGGGGTGGGCTGGTGGCAGACAGATAGATGCATTGGTGAGGGGCCAATTAGGACAGATCACACCACCCAAACCTCAGCCTGTCTGTAAGGCCCACCTTACCCTGCCCCACTCCCAGAGTGCAAGGAAGCGGGTGAATGGGGCAAGAGGAGGAAGAAGGCAGTGATCCGATGGGTGAGGGGCACTACCCGGTTGGGCAGCTTTGCCAGGCTTCCCATCTGAGGAGGGGGAAATGCAAATAGAAACATGGGCCGGTAGGGGGCGTGTGAAGGGGGCTCCGAGGTGCTGGGACCCGTCCCCACTGCCCTGGGCCTTTCTCCCTCCGAGCCCCTTTCCTGGTTAGGCTGAGGCCGGGGCTTGGGAGTTCATGGCTTCGCTGGGGTGGGGCCAAGCCCCTGGCTTTGTGATCCCCCCACTCGTTAATGTTGACCTCCCTGCCGTCCAGTCTTCTCTCTTGGCCAGCCCTGGGAAGCGGGGCAGGGTGCTGGGTGAGGTTCCCCCAGGTAACTGAACAAACGGCCCCCACCCCTCCTCAGCTCCCGGGTGGAGAGAGACCCAGTTTTGGTTTCTCCAGCTCCATGAACACACAGAGGTACACGTCCTACCATAGGAGGAAGCAATGACTGTTATACGAGGTTGGCGGCTGTAGGGGCGCGGGGCCGGGGGCAGGCAGACGAGCTGGGAAGGGGTCGGCCTCTGCCCGTCCTACCCGGCCCTTGGCGGCCCCGCCCCGGCGACCGCAGTGGCCCCGCCCGCTACTGAATGTGGCAGGCGGTGGAGGACGTGGCCTGGCAGCACATGCACGTGGGGTTCACGGACTTGGGGGGGATGAGGTCTAGGTCCTCGTCGTCGGGGATCTCATCTAACCGGTAGCCGTCCTTCAGCAGCTGGATGTTCAAATCTTGGTTGATCTGCTGTAGGCAAAGGGGAGGGAGGTCAGGCCCGAGCGGCAGGGAGGCACCACCCACAGCTCTGCGGCCACTCCAGGCCGTCTGCGCCCCAGTCCAGCCAGTGCCCTGGATATCAGCCCCGCCCTGTCCCGGGTCTGTCTGTACCCCCAGGCCCCGCTCCTGCCTAGGCGCCCTCCTTCGCCTCTGGCCTCTCTTTCTAGTCACCCCTCCCCATTCTATGGTCAACTTCACACCTCTGGTCCTGCTCCTATTCGGGTTTTGCCCCTATCTCAGGCCGGCTACTAGAGGATATCACCTGTATTTTACACCCATTCTATTTAAATGGCCTGCTGCAATCTAAAGCCCCACTCCTAACCCTGGGCTCCATGCACTTGAGGCCAGTAACCACTTCTCTTCCATCCTATCCCAGGCCCACCCTGTGCAGGGCACCACCCAGCCTTGCCCAGCCCTCTTTTTCCTTGTACTTGGGCATTGGCCCCAGCCCTCCCCCGGGATGGCAGTGATCCTGCCCGGTGGTGTCTAGGGTGAGAAGGGGTAGGGGCTCACCTCAGCAGAGGAGTAGCCGGAGGAGGAGTATCTAGACATGTCAAAGTCATCATCGCTGGCCATGGAGGAAAGAGAGGGAAAGTGATACCAAGAAATTACATAGAAAACTCTCTGCAATCCCACCTCCCATTAGGCAGCATCCTATACCTCCCTTACAGTTCCAAATAGCAAAATCTCAATACGAACTGTGCTTGCTGTGCAAATGCAGGATTTTAAAGACAAGTTCCCTAGCCCCACCCTTAAAATCAATTGCTATCCTTAACCTCCTTCTAAATATAGCAGTTACTCCTTTCACCCCCTTCTCATCTTTTTTTTTTTTTTTGTAGACTCAAATCACCCTGACTTGTAGGATATTCCCAAAGTCCAAGTCTAGCCAGGTGTTTTCCAGGGAGTAGGGCTCCTTCCTGAGGGGATGGGGCATTAAGCATCATATTCTGCTGTCCAGAGACAACATCACAGGCCAATTAGGGACAACCATTGGATCAGTTGTCCCAGGATGACAGCAGACAACGCAGGCCCCCCTTTCCTCTCTCTGCCACCTCTCTTCAACCCCCAGTCCCTGGTGTAAAAAAATTCCCATCCCTGGAGAATTCACCCTTGGAGAGATTCTGGCTGAAGAATATCCCAATTCTGACAATATAGCAGGTGTGGCCTGTACAGCCCACTTGTGCTATACAGGTTCCTTTGGGCTGCCCAGCTACCCCCAAGCCCCCATACACACCTGTCCGTGTCAAGGGCTACCAGTGGCTTCTCAT
The DNA here is from genome assembly GCF_000001405.40 of Homo sapiens. Classification (NCBI taxonomy): domain Eukaryota; kingdom Metazoa; phylum Chordata; class Mammalia; order Primates; family Hominidae; genus Homo; species Homo sapiens. The sequence continues at coordinate 34,402,421 of NC_000009.12, forward strand.
CAGGGCTCTGGTCAAGTGAGGAGTAGCCTTTATTGGGGACGACCAGCCTAGGTGAAGAATTTCGGGAGTTAGAGTGGCAAAGTGGAGCATAGAAACCTGGCAAGGGACTGGGTTGGGCCCCGTCCCACCACTTTCTTCCCTCCCTCCCCACCTTGGATCCTGTTAAGGCTGTCTCCTCTCAGAGAGGAGCTGGGCCTGAGGAGGGAGGGAAGAGGGGGAGGCTCAGGACCAGCAGAAATAGGTCCTGGCTGGCAGGGTCCAGGTGGGGTAGGGAGGGCCTCTACCTTGTTCGGGCCATGACATTGTTCTTCTTGGGTTGCTGGTTGACAGGGCTACCCATGCTGCCATTCTTCAGGGAGCCCTTCCGGGCCAGCTCCCGCTGCTTCTCTGCAGGAGAACATGGGAAGGAAGCTGTGTCCTGCCCCTGAGGCCACCCTGTCTTACTACTCAGGGCAGCCTGGGCTGGGCCTCCACTGTGAAACCACTTGCTCCTAGAAGGACTGAGGCAGGGATCCCAACTCCAGGCCCCTGCTGCTTGGTGGAGATAGTACCTGGCCCTGCACAACCTGAGGCAGACAGTGGGGGGCAAAAAGAGGAGGCTGCCCCCTGTTTTTCAGGAACCACAACTCCCATGTTAGGGTAGTTAGTGTGTACTTGATGCCAGGGAAAGGCTGGCGGGGGAGAGACAATCACAGAAGGATGGCGCAGTCAGAGAGGGCTTCCTTTAGGTGACACCATGACCTGGAGAGAGGTGGACATTCTAGGAAGGAGGGATAGTGTGTGCAAAAATGCATTTAAAAGTGAGCATAAGTGTGGCTCTGGATAGAGGGGTGAAGAGAGAGGTCAGGTTAGAGAAGTAAAATTCATTTATTCAGCCACTTATTCAACAAATATCCATGTCACTAATTATAAGTCTGGTCCTGTGCTAAGGGGCCGAAGACCCTCTCTGGTTACAAACTCAGAACATGAAGGACTTGAATGCCAGACAGAGGAGTTTGGGATTAACGCAGAAGGAAGAAGAAGCCACTGAAGGTTATGGTGTGGGAGGTGCAGGATGGGGCTACAAAGTAAGGGGCAGAAGGCTGGGGGAGCCCATTTGGCTACGCTGCCTGAGTGGTGCTCCTGACTCCTTTGCCAAGGTCTGAGTTCTCCAAGGTTCCAAAGCCTACCAGCTTCATGGAGCTGGCCATCAGGTGACCCAGTCCACTGCCTGGTATGTGACAACTGTTACCAGAAGTAGCTTCCTGGGTCTTGGAGGAGTCCCATCTACTCTTCCCTACTCATCTCAAGTAAAGGCCAGATCTAGGAAAAGGAACTGTTAGGTGGAGAGGGACACTAGGGAAAATGACTCATAAAATAGCCAAATGCTCCAGAGGGTAAGGATGGGAAGGACCTTTACAGCTACTGTGACTCACTTGGAAATTTCCCCTGACCTCATGTCTCTGAATCTCTGTCTTCTACTCTTTGACCCTCTTTCTTTGCCAGTGCTCAGCTGATTCCAGCTTTTTCCCAGCTTCTT